>NC_000001.11:52735653-52887168 GCF_000001405.40 Homo sapiens
AGCCTTCTGAATAGCTGGAACTACAGGCGCCCACTGCCATGCCCGGCTAATTTTTGTATTTTTTAGAAGAGATGGGGTTTCACTATGTTGGCTAGGCTGGTCTCGAACTCCTGACCTCAAGTGATCTGCCTGCCTTGGTCTTCCTACTCAGAAGTTTTAAATTCCTCCCTATTGTCTGAGACAATAGACCCTGTGAAGATACCTTTTTAACACTGAAAACCTTGAGAGACAGGACAGTAACATACTTTCAGAACATATTAATTGTGGGGGAGAAAAAGCAAAAAGCAGGTCCAGTAGGAATTCAGTAATATTTTAAAATGATACTCTGTTAAGTCTAACATCTATTATGCATTAAAAATATCAAGATATTATTGTGTACAGAGTGTACTTGATATGCATGGGAATTTGTGAACTCCTTAAGATCCTTGTGGAGCCTGCAGTTTCGGCCCTGCTAGTTTACAGTGGTCTTACAGGGCTGCTGTGCTATACAGATTGTACTGCACAATTCAGCTAACAGCCATTCATATAGACAGCAGTGAATCTACAGAGATCTGTATCCTGTGTACTTGGTGATGTCTAGCACATAGTAGGGACTCAGCAAATAGTTGTTGAATGAAAGTGTTTTATTTATTTATTTATTTATTGAGACAGAGTTTCTCTCTGTCACCCAAGCTGAAGTGCAGTGGCGTGATCTCAGCTCACTAGAACCTCTGCCTCCCGGGATCAAGTGATTCTCCCACCTCAGCCTCCTGAGTATCACAGGCATGCACTACCATGCCCAGCTAATTTTTTTCTTTTTCTTTTTTTTCTTTTTTTTGAGATGGATTCTTGCTCTGTCACCCAGGCTGGAGTGCAGTGGCACCATCTCGGCTCACTGCAACCTCGGCCTCCCAGGTTCAAGCAATTCTCCTGCCTCAGCCTCCTGAGTAGCTGGGATTACAGGCACCTGCCACCATGCCCAGCTAATTTTTGTATTTTTAGTAGAGATGAGGTTTCACCATGTTGGCCAGGCTGGTCTCGAACTCCTGACCTCAGGTGATCCGCCCACCTTGGCCTCCCAAAGTGCTGGGATGACAGGCGTGAACCACCACGCCTGGCTAATTTTTGTATTTTTTAGTAGAGACGGGGTTTTGCCATGTTGGTCAGGCTGGTCTCGAACTCCTGTCCTCAAGTGATCTGCCCCCTTTGGCCTCCCAGAGTGCTGGGATTACAGGTGTGAGCCGCTGTGCCTGGCCTGAAAGTGTTTTATGTAGTATACTAGGACCTTTATGATCTGATCTTTTTTACTGCTTTAGCCTTATTTCTCATTTTATGAGAAAAAATCTTTACATTTTATGCTCAGTAATACTGCATGAACATTATGCTGTTTTTTGTGCCTCTAAGTTTTGCTTACACTGTTTCTTTTGCCTGGAATGCTGGGGTTTCACCATGTTAGCCAGGCTGGTCTCTAACTCCTGACCTCAAGTGATCCACCCACCTCGGCCTCCCAAAGTGCTGGCATTACAGGCGTGAGCCATTGTGCCTGGTACTACTTCTTAATTATTAAACCTTCAAGTGTCCCTTTATGCCCTACCTCCTTTGTGAAGGCTTTGGTTGCCTCCAGGAAACCTTGGGTTAGGCATTTCTGTATGCCTCTCCTGTACAGTGTATGTGCCCTGGTTATAGCAGTTGTTTTCTGTGGTATTATTATTTGTTAATGAGGCTGGCTGTGTCTCCAGATTGTGAGCTCTTTGAGGGCAGGACAGTGCTGTGTTTTTACAGTTTCATGTCATAAGCACTTAGCATAGTGCTTGACATGTAGTAAGTACTTATCAATATTGAACTGAACAATATTGGCTGGTGGTGGCTCACGCCTGTAATCTCAGCACTTTGGGAGGCCGAGGCGGGCGGATCACCTGAGGTCAGGAGTTCAAGACCACCTGGCTAACATAGTGGGAGCCCATGTCTACTAAAAATACAAAAATCAGCTGTGCGTGGTGGCATGCCTGTAATCCCAGCTATTTGGGAGGCTGAGGCAAGAGAATTGGTTGAACCCAGGAGACAGGTTGCAGTGAGCCAAGATCGTGCCACTGCACTCCAGCCTGGGCAACAAGAGCAAAACCCTGTCTCAAAAAAAACACAACAATACTGAGCAGTATGATGTTTCATCAGTGTGTGTTTGATAGAGAATTGCATAAGGTAATGTTAACTGAGATG
This sequence comes from Homo sapiens, assembly GCF_000001405.40. Classification (NCBI taxonomy): domain Eukaryota; kingdom Metazoa; phylum Chordata; class Mammalia; order Primates; family Hominidae; genus Homo; species Homo sapiens. The sequence goes on from NC_000001.11 coordinate 52,737,850, forward strand.
TTGTGATAGATGAAAAAAATTGAACACTCTGTACAGGTCCCCTGAGGGGAAAAGAGGTTGGGTAGGTGAGAAATGTTAGATCAGATAGTTTCTTTTACTAGCCTAAATGGCACTTTTGACCTAGGATAAATGTTCTGTCCACAAGGATTTAACAGGAAGAGCTGAGAAGACAGCCTCCTGATTTTGAGATGAATTGCGAAGCAGTATCCCTTTGTATAAACACTTGAAAGTCACTTGTCTATATAATTTGTAGAGGTGTTCTTCCAGAGAGTAGAATGTTTAAACTCAGATAATAAATAATCAGTTACTGCTAAATCTAGAGGGGTGGTTAATTCTTTTAAAAACTTTTATTAACTTTTTCTTTATTTTTATTTTTTTGAGACAAGGTCTTCACTCTGTCGCCCAGGCTGGAGTACAGTGGTGGCATCTTGGCTCACTGCAGCCTCAGCCTCCTAAGTGGCTGGGACTACAGGTGTTTGACACCATGCCCGGCTAATTTTGGTACTTTTTTAGTAGAGTCCGGGTTTCACCATGTTGGCCAGGCTAGTCTCCAACTCCTAAGCTCAAGTGATCTGCCCGCCTCGGCCTCCCAAAGTGCTGAGATTACAGGCATGAGCCACTACACCTGGCCTTAATAGCTTTATATAAAGATCTTTTGTTTTTTCTGTTATCTTCAGTTCTCCTTTGTATAAATGTTTTTCTTAGCTTTCCAGTGTCTTAATGCCTATTCAATGTCATATTTTTCTTTTCTAAGGACTTTTTTTTTTTTTTGAGATGGAGTTTCACTCTTGTTATCAAGGCTGGAGTGCAATGGTGTGATCTTGGCTCACCGCAACCACTGCCTCCCCACAACCTCACCTCCCAAGTTCAAGTGATTCTCCTGTCTCAGCCTCCTGAGTAGCTGGGATTACAGGCATGCACCACCACACCTGGCTAATTTTGTATTTTTAGTAGAGACGGGGTTTCTCCATGTTGGTCTCAAACTCCCGACCTCAGGTGATCCGCCCACCTTGGCCTCCCAAAGTGCTAGGATTACAGGTGTGAGCCACCATGCCCGGCCAGGACTTTTTTTTTTAAAGCTGGAATATTCTTGGTTATATAACATTTATAATTTTCATTTCATAGGCCCTGTAACCTTTTTTTTTTTTTGGAGACAGAGTCTCACTGTATCACCCAGGCTGGAGCGCAGTGACACGATCTTGGCTCACTGCCACCTCCACCTCCGCCTCCCGGGGTCAAGCGATTCTCCTGCCTCAGCCCCCGAGTGGTTGGGATTACAGTTACCCCTCACCACGCCTGGCTAATTTTTGTAGTTTTAGTAGAGACAGAGTTTCACCATGTTGGCCATGTGGGTCTTGAACTCTTGACCTCGGGTGATCTGCCCACCTCGGCCTCCCAAAGTGCTGGAATTACAGGTCTGAGCCAGAGCCACAGTGCCCAGCTGGCCCTGTAAACTTTCACAAGTCATTTTAACTCTCTATGCCTCCATTTTTAAATTTGTAAAATGAAAAGGTTATATTAATCCTCTGTGTGATTCCTTCCATCTCTTAAAGAAAAGGTAGTAAGATTCTAGCAAGTTAAAGGCAAGTAGAGTAGAGTAGATACATTCTATTAGCTGTAGTACTATGGGATCTGGGCAAACTGTTTTTATAGGCTTAAATTTTGTGTAAACTTGAGCTCTAACCTCTCAATGTATTACCCACCTTTTTCACACCAGAGACCTTTTATTTCAATTAAGTTAATATTTGCAAAGTACTTTGTTTTATTTATTTATTTTAATTTGTTTTTTTTTGAGAGAGTCTCACTCTGAAGCTCTGGCTGGAGTGCAGTAGCATGATCTTGGCTCACTACCACCTCTGCCTCCCAGGTTCAAGTGATTCTCCTGCCTCAGCCTCCCAGGCGCCCACCCCCATGCCTGGCTAATTTTTATATTTTTAGTAGAGATGTGGTTTCACCATGTTGGCCGGGCTGGTCTTGAACTCCTGACCTCAAGTGATCTGCCTGCCTCAGCCTCCCAAAGTGCTGGTATTACAGGCATGAGCCACGCTCCTGGCCCTTGTTTTAAAGGTATTTTCATGGATGTCCCATTTATTCCTCATTACTATTTTGTGGGATAGTCAAGAGGTTTAGCTTCAATTTTTCAGATAAGGAAACTGAGAAGTTAATTGACTTTCCTAAGGTCACACAGCTAGTAAGTAGCAGAGCCAGAACTGACTGTGCAAGCCCAGTGTTCTTTCCATTATTAACCCCACTTCTCTGTTTACCTTATTATATTTCAAAACTCCTGGTTATTGTAGGTAACAGGAAAATAGTGCTAAAGTATCTCTTTGAGTGGACAATTCCTGTGATCTGCTCAATGGCCACTGACCTGAATTTTTGTTTTGTTTCCTAGAATAGCTTTATCACATGACGTTAGATGAAAGAGCAGGGCATTTATGTAGCTTTCCAGCTCTTGATCTTTTTTAGGTAGAACTCTACCTCCTTGCCCTTTAGCACATATCCACTTGCCATAGTGGCCAGGCCTTAAAGTGATATGTGCAAGAAGCTTGCTTTACTTGCTTTTCAATTTGTCATCTAGGAGTCTCCAAAGAGTAGTTGGTGTTCTTTTAAAAAGAAAAACAATTCCCCATAGTTTATACCAAATAGTTCAATATCTCCATACCCTTAAACACAATGTTATCTATTGTCTGTGATCTATGCCCTTGGTACTACCTTCTTTTTTTTTTTTTTTTTTTTGAGACAGGGTCTCTGTCACCCAGGCTGGGTGCAAGTGGCACCATCTCAGCTCACTGCGACCTCCGCCTCCGGGGTTCAAGCAATTCTCATGGCTGAGTCTCCTGAGTAGCTTGGATTACAGGCATGCGCCACCACCCTTAGCTAATTTTTTGTATTTTTAGTAGAAACGGGGTTTCACCATGTTGGCCAGGCTGGTCTCCAACTCTTGGCCTCAAGTGATCTGCTCACCTTGGCCTTCCAAAGTGCTGGGATTACAGGTGTGAGCCACTGCGCCCTGCTGGTACTACCTTCTTGACCTTCCTCTTTGTCTGTAAAATGATTGCAGTTGGGGCGGGGGAGGGTAAGGGATTAGATCATCTCTAAGGTTATAGTAGATGTTTATTTCTGGAAGCCTGACTTGGTTGAATTTGTAATAGAAAATAAAAGTTTTTGCTGGGCGGGGTGGCTCATGCCTGTAATCCCAGCACTTTGGGAGGCCGAGGCGGGTGGATCACCTGAGGCCAGGAGTTCGAGATCAGTCTGGCCAACATGGTGAAACCCCATCTCTACTAAAAATACAAAAAGTAGCCGGGTGTGGTGGCATGCACCTGTAATCCCAGCTACTCGAGAGGCTAAGGCAGGAGTATTGCTTGAATCCAAGAGGCAGAGGTTGCAGTGAGCCGAGATTGCACCATTGCACTCCAGCCTGGGGCAAAAGAGTGAGACTTCGTCTCAAAAAAAAAAAAAAAAAAAAAGAAAAGAAAAGAAAGTTTTTTAAAAACCCAAACAACTAAGAGGAGATTTTCCATGGAGTATTACGATGAGAAGTCAGAGATATCTAACATCTCAATTTCTCATAGGTACCTGTGAACTCAAATGATACTTGAGTGCCTTTCAGTTTCATTTTGGTTTCAAGGCTAGACTTGGGACTTAATATTTCTCTCTGGATACGTAGTCTTTTTCTCTAGAGGCAAATGTGTATTTTAGTTATGCTTAACAATAAATTCATGCTTGACTTTTCATTTATTCATGCAATAAACATTTAGTGCCCACTATGTAGTAGGCATTGTTTTAGGCTCTGAGAATACAGTAGAGAAGAAAATGCGGGGTTTTTTTCTATGCAGCTGATATTCTGTGGTAATAACATTTATTGAGCAGGTAGTATATGCCAGTTACTGTTCTTAGTGTGTTGCATTTAGAATTTATTTAATTCTGGCAACAATCCTATGACATAGGCACTGCTCTTGTCTTCATTTTACAATCATGAAACTGAGGTTCAGGGAGATTAAGTACTTTGCTTAAGGTTATATAGGTTTGTAAATGGTAGAGGTGGCATTTTAATCCAGGCAGTCTGACTCCCAAGCCCACACTCTTCATCATAGTATTACATAGTCTTTTAGAAAGATATCCATAAAAAATCTATTTCTATCATTAAATTGTCGAGTTTGTAATTTTTGTAGTCACCTGATTTCTGGCCCAATCTTTAGAAAAAAGTCACCCAAAGATACAATAAAGGAGCACTGTGAAAGCCCTTGTGTTCTGTTACAGGAATTGTCAGTCTTAGGAAGCTTTTGGGTAGGACATCTTGAGCCTGATTCTTATGAGTTGAGAGACCAGGCATGGTGACTCACGCCTATTACCCCAGCACTTTGGAGGCTGAGGCAGGAGGATCACTTGAGCCCAGGAGTTCAAACCTGAGCAACATAGTAAGACCCCGTCTCTACACAAAAACAAAAAATTAGCCAGACATGATGACACGTGCCTGTAGTCCCAGCTATTCGGATGGCTGAGGTGGGAGGATCTCTTGAGCCTGGGAAGTCGAGGCTGCAGTGAGTTGTGATTATGCTATTGTACTCCAGCCTGGGTGACAGAGCAAGACCCTGTCTCTAAAAAAAATAAAAGATAGAAAAAGAGATGTAAAAGAGAGAATTTTTTTTGTATTTTTTTACAGCTGTACAATGTGTTTATGTTTTGTTACTTCAAGAGTCAAAAAGTAGGCCAGGCGCGGTGGCTCACGCCTGTAATCCCAGCACTTTCGGAGGCGGAGGCGGGCGGATCACGAGGTCAGGAGATCGAGATCGTCCTGGCTAACATGGTGAAGCCTCGTCTCTACTAAAAATACAAAAAATTAGCCGGGCGTGGTTGCAGGCGCCTGTAGTCCCAGCTTCTCGGGAGGCTGAGGCAGGAGAATGGCCTGAAGCCGGGAGGCGGAGCTTGCAGTGAGCCGAGATCGTGCCACTGCACTCCAGCCTGGGCGACAGAGCGAGCCTCCGTCTCAAAAAAAAAAAAAAAGAGTCAAAAAGTTAATAAAAAAGTAAAAGTTCTGGGGGGCAGCCCCCGCCCGGCCAGCCGCCCCGTCCGGGAGGGAGGTGGGGGGCAGCCCCCGCCCGGCCAGCCGCCCCGTCCGGGAGGTGGGGGGCGCCTCTGCCCGGCCGCCCCGTCTGGGAAGTGAGGAGCCCCTCTGCCCGGCCGCCACCCCATCTGGGAGGTATACCCAACAGCTCATTGTGAACGGGCCATGATGACGATGGCGGTTTTGTCGAATAGAAAAGGGGGAAATGTGGGGAAAAGAGAGAGAAATCAGATTGTTGCTGTGTCTGTGTAGAGGGAAGTAGACGTAGGAGACTCCATTTGGTTCTGAGATTAGGGAGTCATCACCACTCCCTAATCTCAAGTACCCAGGGACACAAACACTGCGGAAGGCCGCAGGGTCTTCTGCCTAGGAAAACCAGAGACCCTTGTTCACTTGTTTATCTGCTGACCTTCCCTCCACTATTGTCCTATGACCCTGCCAAATCCCCCTCTCCGAGAAACACCCAAGAATGATCAATAAATACTAAAAAAAAAAAAAAAAAAAAAAGTAAAAGTTCATAAAATCGCTAAGAAAGTTACAGTAAGATAATGTTAATTTATTACTGAAGAAAGACAAATTTGCTCAGGAGTTCGAGACCAGCCTGGGCAACATAGCAAGACCTTGTCTTTACCAAAAATAAAAAAAAATTAGCTGGGTGCTTTGGTGCACACCTGTAGTCCCACGTATTATTCCAAAGGCTAAGGTGAGAGGATCGCTTGATTCCAGGAAATTGAGACTGCAGTGAGCTATGATCACACTACTGTACTCCAGCCTGGGTGATAGATTCTGTCCCCACCCCCCAAAAAGAAAAAACATTTAAATAAATTTAGTGTAGCTTAAGTATTTATAGTCTACAATAGTGTGCAGTAATGTCCTAGGCCTTCACATTCACTATCACTGATTCAACTGATATATTCCAAGTACCTTCCAGTCCTGCAAGCTCCATTTATGTTAAGTCCCCTCTACAGGTGTACCATTTTTTATCTTCTATGCCTATCCCTACTGTACCTTTTCTTTTCTTTCTTTTTTTTTTGAGACAGAGTCTCGCTCTGTCACCCAGACTGGAGTGCAGTGGCACAATTGATCTCAGCTCACTGCAACCTCCGCCTCCTGGGTTCAAGCGATTCTCCTGCCTCAGCCTCCCCAGTAGCTAGGACTACAGGCACAAGCCACCACACCCAGCTAATTTTTTTATTTTTAGTAGAGATGGGGTTTTACCATGTTGCCCAGGCTGGTCTCAAACTCCTAACCTTAAGTGATCTGCCCACCTCAGCCTCTCAAAGTGCTGGGATTACAGGTGTGAGCCACTGCATCCAGCCTTTTTCTATGTTTAGATTTTTCAGATACACAAATACTTAACATTTTGTTACAGTTGCCTACAGTATTCAGTACAGTAACATGCTGTACAGGTTTTTGCATCCTATCTACCACCTCTATGATCACACAATGACAAAATTGCCTAATGACACATTTCTCAGAATATATTCCTGTTGTTAAGCAACACATGACTGTACTAATATTATCCCCACTCTACATAGGATAGAACTGAGTGTCAGAAGAGCTAGGTAATTTGACCATTGTGATAACACTAGAATTCAACTTCAGTTCTACTGTTGTTCTTAACTACGATATTTCTAGAGAAGGGCTGGGTACGCTAGCTCACGCCTGTAATCCCAGCACTTTGGGAGGCCAAGGCGGGCGGATCATGAGGTCAGGAGATCGAGACCATCCTGACTAACATGGTGAAACCCCGTCTCTACTAAAAATACAAAAAGTTAGCCGGGCATGGTGGCACGCGCCTGTAGTCCCAGCTACTCAGGAGGCTGAGGCAGGAGAATCTCTTGAACCCGGGAGGCGGAGGAGGTTGCAGTGAGCTGAGATCGCGTTACTGCACTCCAGCCTGGCAGAGCGAGACTCCATATCAAAAAAAAAATATATTTCTAGAGAAGTCATTTTTGTGCCTCAGCTTTCTTAACTGTAAAATGAAAATTTTAATACTTTTTCTTCTACTTTGTAAGGTTATTGTGAGTATCAAATGAAATCAGGATGTGAATATGCTTTGTTTACTGTAAGGCATTGCTACCAGCATAATTCACAAAGGATATTTTTTCTTATAATTAACCAAAACATAAACCTCATTGCTCAGAGATTCTGAAGTCCACAAGTGCTCAGAAGGTTGAAATGCTTCTTTGCCATGGCTCTGGCAATACAGTAACAGAATGAAGCTTTTAATACACAAAACAAACTAACCAACAAAACAGATAACTGACTGAGTCTTGGGGAAATTACTGAGAATACCTCTAGTTGAGTGTTGTGTAAATGACTAAATACTTCAAGGCAGGAGCATTTAGGAAGACCAATAAAAACCGGAGTGGGGGTTGTGGGAAGGAAGGGTAGAGATTAAAAGAAAGCTATGAGAAGGTTTAGGAAGAGCTAATGGATTGAGATTCCTTTTTTGCCTTGTCTTCATTGCCCCATGCTCTCTGGTATGCCTTGCTTTTATAAGAAGCTGTGGTTCAAGAGCAGAGGATCTGCTTATAGGTAGTTCATTTATTCATACTTACTTCTTACTCAGTAGACACTGAAACATTTACTCTGTAAGCATAGGGGATATGGAGATGTATAAGGCATGGCTCTAACCTGGTGGTTTTCTTTGTTTTTGTTTGTTATGGAGTCTCACTCTGTTGCCCAGGCTGGAGTGCAGTGGCGCGATCTTGGCTCACTGCAACCTCTGCCTCCCGGTTCAAGCAATTCTCCTGCCTCAGCCTCCCGAGCAGCTGAGATTACAGGCATCCACCACCATGCCCAGCTAATTTTTGTATTTTTAGTAGAGATGGGGTTTCACCATGTTGGCCAGGCTGGTCTTGAACTCCCGACCTCAAGCAATCCACCCATCTCAGCCTCCCAAAGTGATGGGATTACAGGTGTGAGCCACTGCATCCAGCTGTTTTTTTTGTTTTGTTTTGTTTTGACGGAATTTTACTCTTGTTGCCCAGGCTGGAGTGCAATGGTGCAAACAAGGGGAGAATCGCTTGAATATTTAACTTTTTTTTTTTTTTGAGACGGAGTCTCACTCTGTCGCCTAGGCTGGAGTGCAGTGGCACTCGATCTCGGCTCACTGCAACCTCCACCTCCTGGGTTCAAGCAATTCTCCTGCCTCAGCCTCCTGAGTAGCAACTACAGGCGCGTGCCACCACGCCCAGCTAATTTTTTGTATTTTTTTTAGTAGAGACGGGGTTTCACTGTGTTAGCCAGGATGGTCTCGACCTCGTGATCCACCCGCCTTGGCCCCCCAAAACGTTGGGATTACAGGTGTGAGCCACCGCACCTGGCGAATATTTAACTCTTTAAGTTATGACCTGTGTGGTCTAGTCTTAGTGCAGTGTCATAATCCATGGAACACAATCCTGCAAACAAAAAGTCATTTTGAAATAACTCAGTCTTTATTTGCATTTCTTGAAACATCATGAAGTAGAATAGAGTTCACAGATAAACCAAGCAGAATTATTAACCCTTTCTGTATCCCCCAAACCCAGCATAGTCCCTGATATTTACCTATTAGAAGAACAAAAAGGAGAATGAGTTCAAATTAGGAGAGTGATAAAGGGACTTCCCTAGTTTCTGAAAAATTGTGCCAATTTACACTCCAACCAGCAGTATTTGAGAGGACCAATCTGGGCAAACTTTACTTGAAAAATTCACATTTATCAGGTTTATATCATGTCCCAAAAAAACACTATATTAACCAAAAAAATAAAGATCGGCCACTGTTTTTTTTTTTTTTTTTTTTTTTTTTTGCGGCTGGAATTGTTTTTCCTATTTGCTATAGAATATATTTTCAGCCATTGCTCAGGGGCTGTGTCACTCTGCTTGCTGTACTTGAGGTAATTACAGGGCTTCATTATCTCTTCTGACCATAATTAACAGATCTGGGTTAAATCTGGGATTTATTTTTGGAGTTTTTTTTTTTTTTTGGCGGGTAAGGTCTTTACTCCCCCCTCCATCCTTTCCCTCCATCTGAGAGGCCTTATGGGTAAGACAAAGGGCATGATATTTGGCATTGAAGATTGGTTCAAGGTCCAGTTCTGCCACATTCTAAATATATGAACTTGGGTACATTATTATTTCTGAGTTCCAGCATCCTCATATACAAAATGGTATCTAGTATAGAAGTTCTACAAGAAAGTTGTGAGGGGTAAATGATACAATGTGTGTAAGAAATGTGTTGTATGAATGTTGATCAGTCTTTGAAAGAACACTTGCCTGTCTACTAGGGTGCCAGATGTTATACTAGGTTCTAGGTATTAAGAAAAAGTCAGCACTGATTTCCTGTTTGATTCTTTACTACATTTCATCAGTTCTTTTCTGCAAAATATTTTTCACTTTTGATTTTTTTTTTTTTGCATTTTCATTGCCTGTACTCTAATCCATAGCATCATCACCTCCTGTCTGGGCCACTGTTAACTAGTTAGTCCCAAGTTGTATTTTGGCATTTATTTCAAAGCCAGACTAATAATTATTCTGTTTGAGAGATGATATGGTGTAGCAGAAAAAGTATGGACTTCATTATTAACAGACCTGGGTTTGTATCTTGGCCCCACTTTCTACAGTATGTGACACTGGGAAAGTTCCTTTACCACTCTCTTAATTTGAACTCACTCTTTTTTTTTTCTCTCTCTCGTAACAGGTAAAAATCAGGGACTGCATGTGGTTCTAGGGATAAAGGAAGGGTTAACAAGTTCCTTCTACTTGAAGAGTTCATGGCTGAGTGGGGTAAACAGATACAGTCATAGATAACCATGGTGTAACATGGAATTGTAAAAGAAAACTAGCTTGGGAATCAGATATAAAGGGCAGTGTATGTAGTGGTAAAAGCACAGATTTAACTCTAGAGTCAGATTGCTTGGGGTCTAATCCTGACTCTACCATTTATTAGCTCTGTAATCTTGAGCAAATTACTTAAACTCTGATAGCCTCAATGTCCTTATCTGTAGAATAGGGATACTGATGGAATTTAATTTATAGAATTCTTATGAGAAATAAATGAAATTATATATGTAAAGCACTTAGCATAGTTAGTAGCATATAGCACATAGCATATATTAGCATATAAGTGCTCTACAATTATAATTATGATATTAGTAGAGTAGTTAAGAACTTAAAAATATAAACTTTGGCCTCATTCTTGTGTTGAAGTCTGGGTTTAGCAATATATTGGCCATGTGAATATGGGGAAGAGATTTAACCTAAGCCTTATTTTCCTCATCTTTAAAATGCAATAATGTAATTGTGCTTGGCTCAGGATGTAGAAATGGAAAGAGATCTGCACCAGGACCTGATACAGAATAAATGCCTTGTAAAAGATAGCTGTTGTGATTTTTATTCTTGCTCTGCCATCTGCTGGCTGTTTTATCTCTGATATGTAAATTAATCTTTCTGAGCCTCAGTTTACTTTTGTTCAAAACAAAGTTGTTTATTGAAGATTGAAAATATTTATGAAGTACATAGGTGGCTGGCACCACACAGTTGTCATTCAGTACACAGTAGCTGTTGTTAATGGTACAATTTAATTTTTCAGGTGCTGAGAATAAAATTAATTCTGCCTTAGAAATTAGGAAAGACATCACAGAAGTAGTGAGCTTTGAATTTTGAAAGATGAGGCTGGCTGGGCATGGTGGCACATGCCTGTAATCCCAGCACTTTGGGAGTCCGAGGCGGGCAGATCACCTGAGTTCAGGAATTCGAGAGTAGCCTGGCCAACATGGTGAAACCCTGTCTCCACTGAAAATCTAAAAATTAGCTGGGCGTGGTGCACGCGCCTGTAATCCCAGCTACTTGGGAGTCTGAGGCAGGAGAATCACTTGAACTGGGAGGTGGAGGTTGCAGTGGGCACAAGAATCACTTGAATGGGGAGGTGGAGGTTGTGGTGAGCCAAGATCACACCACTGCACTCCAGCCTGGGCAACAGAGTGAGCTTCCATCTCAAAAAAAAAAAAAAAATGGCCGGGCGTGGTTGCTCACGCCTGTAATCCCAGCACTTTGGGAGGCTAAGGCAGGCAGATTGCCTGAGGTCAGGAGTTCAAGACCAGTCTGGCTAACATGATGAAACCCCGTTTCTACTAAAAATACAAAAAAATTAGTTAAGTGTGGTGCCGCGTGCCTGTAATCCCAGGTACTTGGGAGACTGAGGCAGGAGAATCGCTTGAACCCGGGAGGTGGAGGTTGCAGTGAGCCGAGATCGTGCCATTGCATTCCAGCTTGGACAACAAGTGCCAAACTATCTCCAAAAAAATAAACAAAATACCTAAATAAAAAAAGAAAGATGAGTGAGATTTTTGCTATAAAAGGACTAACAAAAGCTCTGAGATGTGAAAATATCTGTTACAGTACTTAAGGAATAGTAAGTGCTAGGTTGCTTAAACATGCAGTTTAGTGTATCTGGCAGGTAGCTTATTTGGGGCAGGGAGAAGGGAACAGTGAGAAAGGCTAGAGAGGAAGATTGGAACTAGCTAGGAAAATGTTTCGAATACCTTGCTAAAGTGTTTATACTTTATAGGTCTCTCTTTTTCCAACTTTTACTTGTAACAACTGAAGAAACTAAACTTGCTGGGGAATAGAGGAGGGAATTACTTGAAGCCAGTGTTCAAACAGGAATTTCTTGGTGATCTTGTGGGGTTTATTTTTTTTTATTTTTTATTTTTTTGAGATGGAGTTTTGCTCTCGTCGCCCAGGCTGGAGTGCAATGGTGCGATCTTGGCTCACCGCAACCTCCGCCTCCCGGGTTGCCACCACGCTTGGCTAATTTTTGTATTTTTATTAGAGACAGGGTTTTGCCATGTTGGCCAGGCTTGTCTTGAACTCCTGACCTCAGGTGATCCGCCTGCCTCAGCCTCCCAAACTGCTGGGATTACAGGCATGAGCCACCGTGCCCATCCTTATCAATTTTCAAAATACAGAGTTGATATTTCCCTGGTGTCCTTCAAAGATAACTAGTTGGTTTTTATTTTGTATCATTATGAACTCATGAATTGAACATATTTGAGGTGCAATTCCCTGTAGTTTTCAGCTGTTTTCCTGATCTTTGAAATGTGGAGTTTGGATAAGATGACCTCTAACCATCATTAGCATTTTGATGTATTTATTTCTAGTCTTGTGTTTACACTTGTTTAAACTATTTATTTTATTTTAATTTAGTTTTGAGACGGAGTCTTGCTCTGTCACCCAGGCAGTAGAGCAGTGGCACAATGTTGGCTCACTGCAACCTCCGCCTCCGGGGTTCAGGCGATTCTCCTGCCTCAGCCTCCCAAAATGCTGGGCTTGCAAGTGTGAGCCACTCTGCCTGGCCCCCAGCAACTATTTTTTTTTTTTTTTTGAGACGGAGTTTCACTCTTGTTACCCAGGCTAGAGTGCAGTGGCGCAATCTCGGCTCACTGCAACCTCCACCTCCCAGGTTCAAGTGATTCTCCTGCCTCAGCCTGCTGAATAGCTGGGATTACAGGCATGGGCCACCATGCCTGGCTAATTTTTGTATTTTTAGTAGAGACAGAGTTTCACTGTGTTGGTCAGGTTGATCTTGAACTCCTGACCTCAGGTGATCTGCCTGCCTTGGCCTCTCAAAGTGCTGAGATTACAGGTGTGAGCCATCGTGCCTGACTCTGGCAACTATTTTTAATAGCAGCTTTATTGAGATATAATTCACATACCATGCATTTCACCTATTAAAGTGTACCCAGTTCAGTGGTTTTTAGTATATGCAGAGTGGTGCAACTATAGCCACAATCAATTTTAGAACATTTTCATCACTCCAAAAAGAAGCCCTGTGCCCACTAGCATTCACTTTCCATTTTCTTCTAACCCACCTTCCCTCTAACCCTAAGCAACCAATAATCTCCTTTCTGTCTCTGTACATTTACCTCTTCTGAACAGTTCATACAAATGGGATCATACAATACGTGGTTTTTTTGTGACTGGCTTCTTCCACTTAGCATGTTTTCAAGGCTCATTCATGTTGTACAGTACATCAGCATTCCTGTTTTGCTAAGTAGTATTCCATTGTGGGGCTGTACTATATTTTGTTTATCCAGTCATCTGGTTTTTGTTGTTTCTGAAATAGAGTCTTGCTCTGTCACCCAGGCTGGAATGCAGTGGTGCCATCACGACTCACTGTAACCTCCCACTTCAGCTCCTGAGTAACTAAGACTACAGATACCTGCTACCACACCCAGCAAATTTTTGTGTTTTTTGTAGAGATGGGGTTTCACCATGTTGCCCAGGCTGGTCTCGAACTTCTGGGCCCAAGTGATCCTCCCAAAGTACTGGGATTACAATTGTGAGCCATCACGCCCACCCCATCCCACCCTACCCATTTATCAGTTTTGATGGATATATTTGGGTTGTTTCTACTATGATATAGTTAAAAAAAAAAAAAAATAGCCAGCGCGGTGGCTCACACCTGTAATCCCAGCACTTTGGGAGGCCGAGGCGGGCAGATCACTTGAGGTCAGGAATTTGAGACCAGCCTGGCCAACATGGTGAAACCCCGTCTCTACCAAAAATACAAAAATTAGCTGGGCGTGGTGGCATGTGCCTGTAGTCCCAGCTATTCTGGAGACTGAGGCAGGAGAATCACTGGAACCTGACGTGAGGCAGAGGTTGCAGTGAGCCAAGATTACACCACTGCACTCCAGCCTGAGTGACAGAGCAAGACTCCGTCTCAAAAACACACAAAAAACCCCCCAAAATTTGATCTTCATACCCTGTTTCTTGCACGTTAGCTCCCAAACCCCTTGGAAGCTCTGAAGTGAAAAGAGTTTTTGTATGCTAATGAGTTGACTGGTGTCCAGGAGCCCCTAGATAACTTCTTTCTGGGCTGGTTGCCAGAAGGACCAAGGCATGTGATAGGAAAAACAACATTTTTTCCTTCTTTATACTCCTTTATATTCACACCACTCTCAATATTTTTGATACCAAACCATATAGTAGGAGAAAACAAACTGTTTTCTCCTACTGTACTCTCAACACAGAACACTTCTGTGACCAGATGTGTGGTTTTTTTTTTTCCCTATACGGAGCAATTCTCCTATTCTCAGCAGACATCAATTGGGTGCCCTAAAATTTACCTCAGTTCTGACAGTAACCAGCATTAACATAGACCTCACAGGTGAGGGGCTCACTTCCACAAGATGGCCTCCCTCAGATGCCAATTCAGGTAGTAGGTCTCTGGATTAACCACAACACCTGTCAGTCTTGGCTACAAATTGGAGGTTCCCACACCTCCCTCCCTGGGTTTGATAATTTGCCAGAGTGCTCACAGAACCCATGAAAATTTTACTTACTTTAATACAAAGGATATTTTAAAGGATACAAATGAACAGCCAGATGGAAGAGATACATAGGGCAACCTATGGGGGAAGGAGCTTGAAGCTTCCATGCCTCCTCCAGCACACCCTACCCCACCCCTAGCACTTCAATGTGTGCAGCAGCCTGGATACTTTCCAAACCCCATTTTTGGGTGATTTTGTGGATGCATTATTACATATGCATGATTGATTAAATCATTGGCCATTGGTTATTAACAACTTTGAGTCCCTCTCCCCTCCCTGGAAGTTAATGGCAAGTGAAGTGCCTTCCTGAATTCTGTGAGTCATATTAGCAGATTATCAAACATGAGGCCCTCCTCAGGGGATCTTGGAATCCCACAGTTTATAGTTCATTGGTCAGAAGTACAAGTGGAAATCTGGGACTTGTGACTGGCACCTGCAGTGGGGACAGTGGCCTAAACTGTAGTGCTATGCTAATTCTGGGTAGTTAGTGTCAGAATTCGAATTGAATTGTAGGATACCCAGTTGGTGTCAGAACTGGTTGTTGGCGTGGGAAAAGCCCAGAAATTTGGTGTCAGTAGTGTTGTGAGTAAAAACAATTCGGACCATTTTTTTTTTCTTGGGGTGGGGTACAGAGTCTCGCTATGTCGCCCAGGCTGGAGTGCAGCAGCATGATCTCAGCTCACTGCAACCTCTGCCTCCTGTGTTCAAGTGATTCTCCTGCTTCAGCCTCCTGAATAGCTGGGATTACAGAAGTGCACCACCACACCCAGCTAATTTTTGTATTTTTAGGAGAGACGGGGTTTCACCAAGTTGGTTAGGCTGGTCTTGAACACCTGACCTCATGATCCACCCACCTCGGCCTCCCAAACTTCTAGGATTACAGGTGTGAGCTGCCGTGCCTGACCTCAGACCACTTTTTAACTATTATGAACAATGCTTCTGTAAACATTCACATACAAGATTTTGTGTGGACATGTTTTTATTTCTGGGTATATACTTAGGAGTAGAATTGCTGGATCGTATTGGTAACTGTTTAATTTTGTAATAAACTGCTAAGCTGTTTTCCAAGGCAGCTGCAACATTTTTATTTCCACCAGTAATGTATGAGGTTTCCAATTTTTTCTCCCATCAGCAATTATTGTCCATGGTTGTTCTTCTTCTTCTGGTTGTTGTTGTTGTTGTTCTTTTTTTTTTTTTTTGACAGAGTCTCGCTCTGTCACCCAGGCTGGCGTGCAATGGCGTGATCTTGGCTTATTGCAATCTCCACCTCCCAGGTTCAAGCAATTCTCCTGCCTCAGCCTTACCCTAGTAGCTGAGATTACAGGCATCTGCCAACATGCCTGGCTAATTTTTTGTGTTTTTTTGTTTTTTTTGAGACAGAGTTTCGCTCTTGTTGCCCAGGCCGGAGTGCAATGGTGTGATCTCGGCTCATCGCAACCTCTGCCTCCCGGGTGCAAGCGATTCTCCTGCCTCAGCCTCCCAAGTAGCTGGGATTACAGGCATGCACCACCACGCCCAGCTAATTTTGTATTTTTAGTAGAGATGGAGTTTCTCCATGTTGGTCAGGCTGGTCTTGAACTCCCGACCGCAGGTGATCCACCCGCCTCGGCCTCCCAAAATGCTGGGATTACAGGCGTAAGCCACTGTGCCTGGTCACTTTTTGTATTTTTACTAGAGACAGGGTTTTACCATGTTGGCCAGGCTGGTCTCGAACTCCTGACCTTAGGTGATCTGTCTGCCTCGGCCTCCCAAGTATTACAGGTGTGAGCCACTGTGCCTGGCCCCCTTTGCCTTTTTTTTTTTGAGATGGAGTCTGGCTCTATTGCCCAGGCTTGAGTGCAGTGGCACCATCCTGCCTCACTGCAACCTCTGCCTCCTGGGTTCAAGCGATTCTCCTGCCTCAGCCTCCCAAGTAGCTGGGACTACAGACACCTACAACCACACCAGCTAATTTTTGTATTTTTAGTAGAGACGAGGCTTCACCATGTTGGCCAGGCTGGTCTTGAACTCCTGACCTCAGGTGATCCGCCCACCTTGGCCTCCCAAAGTGTTGGGAGGCCACTGCACCCGGCCTACCTTTGACTATTTCTCGGCCTTTTGGCTAAGATCAAGTGTAGTATCTGTTCTTATCAGTTTATTTTACATTTATTTATTTTTTGAGATGGAGTTTCCCTCTTGTCGCCCAGGCTGGAGTGCAATGGCGCAATCTCAGCTGACTGCAACCTCCGCCTCCCGGGTTCAAGCAATTCTCCTGCCTCAGCCTCCCAAGTAGCTGGGGTTACAGGCATGCGCCACCACACCTGGGTAATTTTTGTATTTTTTGTAGAGATGGGGTTTCACCATGTTCCTCAGACTGGTCTCAAACTGCTGGGCTCAGGCAATATTCCTGCCTCAGCCTTTCAGAGTTCTGGCATTACAGGCATTAGCCACCGTGCCCTTTTCACTTTCTTTATGGTGATCTTTGAAGCACAAAAGTTTTTAATTTTTTTGAAGTTTAATAGATATACATTGGTGTCATATCTAAGAAACTTTACTGATCTAAAGCCCGGACTTTTTACACCTATGTTTTCTTCTAAGAGAAACAATCTTAGCTCTACTATTTAGGACCTTGATCTATTTTGTGGTAATTTTTCTATATGATGTGAGATAGGACTTTGTCTTTATTCTTTTGTATGTTGATGTCCAGTGGTCCCAGCATCATTTGTTGAAAAGCCTATTCTTTTTTTTTTTTTTTTTGAGACGGAGTCTTGCTCTGTCGCCCAGGCTGTGGAGTGCAGTGACATGATCTCAGCTCACTGCAAGCTCCGCCTCCTGTGTTCACGCCATTCTCCTGCCTCAGCCACCGGAGTAGCTGGGACTACAGGCGCCCGCCACCATGCCTGGCTAATTTTTTTGTATTTTTAGTAGAGATGGGATTTGACCGTGTTAGCCAGGATGGTCTCGATCTCCTGACCTCATGATCCGCCCACCTCGGCCTCCCAAAGTGCTGGGATTACAGGCGGGAGCCACTGCACCCGGCCAAAAAGCAAGCCCGTTGAATTATCCTGGCATTCTTGTCAATATCAATTGACCACGAATGTAAGAGTTTATTGCTGAACTCTGAATTCTAGTTCATTGATCTATGTGTCTATCCTTATGCTGGTGCCATACAGTTTTGATTACTTTAGTAATCAAAGTCTTTCAACTTTGTTTTTCTTTTCCAAGATCGTTTTGGCTATTCTAGGTGTTGCATTTCCATATGAATCTTAGGATAAGCTTGTCTTTTTTGTTTGTTTTATGAGACGGAGTTTCGCTCTTGTTGCCCAGGCTAGAGTGCAATGGCATAATCTCAGCTCACTGCAACCTCTGCCTCCCAGGTTCAAGCAGTTCTCCTGCCTCAGCCTCCCAAGTAGCTGGGATTACAGGCATGTGCCGCCACACCTGGCTAATTTTGTATTAGTGTTTAGTGGAGACAGGGTTTCTCCATGTTGGTCAGGCTGGTCTCGAACTCCCGACCTCAGGTGATCCACCTGCCTCGGCCTCCCAAAGTGCTGGGATTACAGGCGTGAGCCACCACACCCGGCTTTGTTTGTTTTTTGAGACAGAGCCTCACTCTATCACCCAGGCTGGAGTTCAGTGGCATAATCTCGGCTCACTACAACTTCCGCCTCTTGGATTCAAGTGATTCTCCTGCCTCAGCCTCCTGAGTAGCTGGAACTACAGGCGTCCACCACCATGCCTAGCTAATTTTTGTATTTTTAGTGGAGATGGGGTTTTGCCATGTTGGCCAGGCTGGTCTCGAACTCCTGGCCTCAAGTGATCCTCCCACCTCGGCCCTACCCTATTTTTAAAAAATAGCTCTCTCAGCTTCATACTCATGTCTGAACAGCATATTGTGATGCTTTAGTTGGTTACAAGCTTCCTAAGCTCTGAGGTCTTCCGCTCACCATCCCTGACTGATTAGAACCCCCTGCTGTGTGCTTACTTAATACCCAGTGTGTCCTCTATTTTAATACTAAAGGGGCTGTATGTAAATGTTTGTTTCAGTGTTTCACTTCTATTGCTTCTTGAGAACATAGATCACAGATTGTATTCCACTGCCTTACACAGTGTCTAGCATATGATAGACACTAAAGAAATACTTGTGAAATGAGTAAATGAATGTTTTGTTCTCTGCTTTTCTGGAAACTAACTAGTTGGTTTTTGTGTTTCTTTTATATTTTTCCCTGGGCTCCAAGGAGGAGGCGTCTCCCTATTCCTTACTTGATATCTGCTTGAATTTCTTGACTACTCACCTTGAGAAGTTCTGTTCAGCCAGACAAGATGGAACATTGTGTCTGCAGGAACCTGGAGTATTCCCACAGGAGGTGGCTGATCGACTGCTTCGGACCATGGCTTTTCATGGTAAAAAAATAAACAGAGGAAACAAAAATTATGTGCTGTTAATTAGATTTGATTTTGAAGTGCTACAGTAGCCATTTAATTATTTTCTTAGAAATAACTGAGAAGGCCAAATGAGCCTGATTCCAGGACTATGAATTCATTTATTTTTACCTATCTTGCCTCTTACTGTGTAATTTATAATAAACATTTTTCTTTTTTTTTTTTTTTTTTCCTTGACAGGGTCTCACTCTGTTACCCAGGCTGGAGTGCAGTGGTGCAAACACGGCTCACTGCAGTCTCAACCTCCTGGGCTCAGGTGATCCTCCCAGCTCAGCCTCCTGTGTAGCTGGGACCACAGGCTTGTGCCACCACATCTGGCTAATTTCAACATTTTTCATTTCTAATGGGGCAAACGTTTTTTGACTTTGAGAAGTCTTTTTTTTTTTTTAAATTTTTTAAGAAACAGGGCCTTGTTCTGTTGCCCAGGCTGGAGTACAGTAGCACAAAACTCCTGGGCTCATGTGATCCTCCTGGTTCAGCTTCCTGAGTAGCTGGGACTATAGCTTGGCTAATTTTTTTATTTTTATTTTTGTAGAGATAAGGTCTCACTCTGTTGCCAAGGCTGGCCTCAAACTCCTTTCCTCAAGCAATCTTCCAACCTTGGCCTCCCAAAGCACTGGGATCATAGGCATGAGCCACCATGCCCAGGTGAGAAGTCATTCTTATGTCAGAAATAACTCCTATAACTTGTATCCATTTGGAGGTTTGCCAGTATAAAATACCTTACATCGGGCCGGGCGTGGTGGCTCATGCCTGTAATCCCAGCACTTTGGGAGGCCGAGGCAGGTGAATCACCTGAGGTCAGGAGTTCGAGACCAGCCTGGCCAAGATGGCGAAACCCCATCTTTACTAAAATACAAAAATTAGCTGAGTGTGGCAATACGTGCCTATAATCTCAGCTACTCGGGAGGGTGAGACAGGAGAATCGCTTGAACCCAGGAGACAGAGGTTGCAGTGAGCCGAGGTTGTACCACTGCACTCCAGCCTGGGCGACAGAGCAAGACTCTGTCTCAAAACAAACAAACTAACAATAACAAAAAGCCTTATGTCTTCATTTGACAGTAGGAGGATTATTACTGTTATGGAAAAACTAATTTCTGATTTTGACCTTTGAGATGGGAAATCACAGCCAATTTAGTACTTTGGTTTTCAAAAACCAGTGCTGAAAATCAACTGGGAAGCTCTTATCTGTGTAGTTTTGCTTATGTATGGAGTATTTTTGTTACTTCAAGTTTTAATTTGAAAGAGATATATCTTGGCCGGGCGCAGTGGCTCACACCTGTAATCCTAGCACTTTGGGAGGTCAAGGTGGGCGGATCACGAGGTCAGGAGTTCGAGACCAGCCTGACCCACGTGGTGAAACCCCGTCTTTACTAAAAATACAAAAATTAGCCGGGCGTGGTGGCGCACACCTGTAGTCCCAGCTGCTCAGAGGGTGAGGCAGGAGAATCGCTTGAATCCAGGAGGCGGAGGTTGCAGTGAGTCGAGATTGTGCCACTGCACACCTGGCTGGGCGACAGAGCAAGACTCTGTCTCAAAAAAAAAAAAAAAAAAAAGATACACCTTTATATCTTTACAGTTGATAAACTCATAAGTATGGAATATGATTTGTCCACAGCTATAGAATAGAATGTAAATTTGCCAATAATAATAGCTGTCATTTATTGAATGCCTATGTGCCAGGGATTTTACATGTATTTTCGTGGAATTTTCGCAAAAACTCTATAAGGTAGCTCTATTATCATTCCCGTTAACATATAGATAAACTGAGGTTCAGAGAAGTAACGTCCTGAGGGTCATACTGCAAGTAAATAGTGGAGTCCTAATTCATGTGCAAGTCTGTCCAATTTTAAATATATGCTCGTTCCACTGTGCCACACAGCCTTCCTACACCTATATTAAAGGTATCCCTGCTCCTGGATGCCACATACTGGTTTATACTTTTGCTGTGGCTTTATATATATAAAACTATTAAGTATAAGTGCCAATAATGTGTTCCAAGAAAGAGTAGGATGAAATGAGGCTGTAACTGAGGCATTTTGGAATAATTTAGGAAAGAAGAAGACCTCTACATTGCTTGTTTTTCACAAAGTTTCTCATGCCAGCAGTCTCTTTGAATTTTTCCAACCTGTCATAGGAACTAGGGTAAATTTCTGTATTATATATGTTAAAGTTAAAAGTCCCTTACACAGCTGCACAACGATTTAAGAGATTATGCCAGTGCTAGCATTTCTTTCTAATCCCAATTTAATGATTATGCTCAGTATATTATTATTATTATTATTTTGAGATGGAGTCTTGCTGTGTTGCCCAGGCTGCAGTGCAGTGGTGCAATCTCAGCTCACTGCAGCCTCCACCTCCTGGGTTCAAGTGATTCTCCTGCCTCAGCCTCCTGAGTAGCTGGGACTACAGGTGCCCACCAACACGCCCAGCTAATTTTTGTATTTTTAGTAGAGACGGGGTTTCACCATGTTGGCCAGGTTGATCTTGAACTCCTGACCTCAAGTGATCCACCTGCCTCGGCCTCCCAAAGTGCTGGGATTACAGGCATGAGCCACTGCACCCAGCCAGTGCTCAGTATATTAGATTAAAAAAAGAAAACTCATCTTGTAAATCAAAAGAACAAATGCTAAGGCCTTAACTTTGCCAGATTGGGTTATCCTTTGGAAATGTAACTACTGCTAGCTAATAGTAGTAGTTAACATTTATTAAATGCTTATTATTATGTCAGGCACTATAGCGAATGCTTTATATGGATAAGATAATAGGAGTGGGTTTTAAGCAAGTCTAACTAAATATTTGTCCTCAGAGTAATGTCTTTGAGAAGCTACATGCTTGAAATGTATTTTCTACCTCTTCTTTTCAGACTGCCTTCAGATGAGGAAACTGAGGGTCAGAAAAATAACTTGTTGTCCCTAATTGTGTTACCCTAGTGTGATTACCTGTCTTCTTCATCAAGAAGGGTTCTGAATTATTTAATCTCTTTATACAAATCATTTCCATCTTTAAACAGTCAAGATTTGATACTACTGAGAATATGCAAAGAAACATGTTGCCAGTTCTTGTCTCAATTTGTAAAAGTTGCTTTATACATTTTTCTTCGTGTTTGAAAATATTCATACTGGGAAAAAAGTTATTCAGTTGATACTTTTATTTTTTATTTATTGCTGTTACTATTTTTTCCTTGAGACAGAGTCTTGCACTGTCACCCAGGCTGGAGTGCAGTGGCGCGATCTCGGCTCACTACAACCTCTGCTTCCCAGGTTTAAGCAATTCTTGTGCCTCAGCCTCCGGAGTAGCTGGGGTTACAGGCATGTGCCACCACACTTGGATAATTTTTGTATTTTTTTTAGTACAGATGGGATTTCACTATGTTGGCCAGGCTGGTCCTAAACTCCTGACCTCAAGTGATCTACCGCCTAGGCCTTCGAAAGTGCTGGGATTACAGGCGTGAGCCAGTGCTCCCGCCTTGTGAATACTTTTAAAATTGGTAATATCAGCCAAGGGCAGTGATTCACGCCTGTAATCCAAGTACTTTGGGAGGCCAAGGCAGGCGATCCGCCTGAGGTCAGGAGTTTGAGATCAGCCTGGCCAACATGGCAAAACCCTGTCTTTACTAAAAGTAACAAAAATTAGCCCGGCGTGGTGGCGGGCGCCTGTAATCCCAGCTACTGAGGAGGCTGAGGCAGAGAGAATTGCTTGAACACGGAGGTGGAGGTTGCAGTGAGCCAAGATTGCACCATTGTACTCCAGCCTGGGCGACAAGAATGAGACTCTTAACGACAACAACAACAACAACAACAAAAACAAAAAACTGGTAATATCATACTGTTTCTAATAGCATATTGATTTTAGAAAATGTTTAACATATACATTTAAAATTTTTTTACTTATTTACTCAATTCAAAGGATCAATGATATTGGTAGCAGTCTTTTTTGTGTGTTAAAAAATTTTCTTTTTCTTCTTTTATTTTTTGTAGAGACAGGGTCTTGCCATGTTCCCCAGGCTGGTCTCGAACTCCTGGCCTCAAGTTAGCCTCCTGCCTCAGGCTTCCAAAGTATTGAGATTACAGGCATGAGCCAACATGCCTGGCCTACTTTTTTTTTTTTTTTTTTTTGAGATGGAATCTCACTCTGTCGCTCAGGCTGGAGTGCAGTGGTGCAGTCTCAGCTCACTGCAGTCTCTGCCTCCTGGGTTCATTTGATCCTCCTGGCTTAGCCTCCCAAGTAGCTGGGACTACAGGTGCCTGACACTATGCACAGCTAATTTTTGTATTTTTAGTAGAGACAGGGTTTCACCATGTTGGCCAGGCTGGTCTCGAACTCCTGACATCAAATGATGCACCTGCCTTGGTCTCCCAAAGTGCTGGGATTACAGGTGTGAACCACTGTGCCTGGTGCTGGCGTATTTTTAAATTGACATATAATAATTGTACATATCTATGGGGTATGTCATGATGCTTCAGTACATATACTGTATAGTGATAAGATTGGAGTAATTAGCATATTCATCATCTCAAATATTTGTTTTGGAAATATTCACTATCATCCTTGTAGCTATTTGAAACTATGAATTATTGTTAACTGTAGTCATCATACAGTGTGTAGGACACTAGAACTGACTCCTCCTGTCTAGCTTAATTACGTATCCTTTAATCAATCTCTGCCTATCCTCCTCTTCTCTCTACAAGTCTCCAGCCTCTGCTAACCTGTTCTACTTTTACTTCTATGAGATCAGTTTTTTAGCTTTCACATATGAGTGAGAACATGCTGTGTTTAACTTTCTGCTCCTGGCTTATTTCACTTAACATAATGTCCTCCAGTTTCATTCATTTTGCTGTGAATGACAGGATTTTATTCTGTTTGTTGGCTGCATAGTATTCCATTATGTATGTACACCACATGTTCTTTATTCATTCATCTGTTATTGGACACATAGATTGATTCTGCATCTTGCTATTGTGAATAGTGCTGCAGTAAACACGGGGTACAGATGTCTCTTTGATAATTTTGATTTCCTTTCCTTTGAATAAATGTCCAGTAGTGGGATTGCTGGATATGGTAGTTCTATTTGTAGTTTTTTGAGGAACCTTCACGCTGCTTTCCATAGAGTCTGTACTAGTTTACATTCCCACCAACAATGTATAAGAGTTCTCTTCTCTACATCCAGTATTTGTTATTTTTTGTCTTTTGTTAATAGCCATCCTGAGGTGAGATAATACCTTGTTTTGATTTGCATTTCCTTGATGATTAGTGATGTTTAGCAATTTTTTTATATATTTGTTGGCCATTTGTATGTCTTCTTTTGAGAAATATCTATTCAGGTCATTTGCCCACTTTTAAATTGGATTGTTTAGTTTTCTGTTGAGCTGTTTGAGTTTCTTATATATTCTGGATATTAATCCCCTGTCAGCTGAATAATCTACAAATATTTTCTCTCATTCTGTAGGTTGTCTTTCCACTCTGTTGATTGTTTCCTTTGCTGTGGTGTGCAGAAGCTTTTAGTTTGATATAATCCCATTTGTCTATGTTCGTTTTTGTTGCCTGTGCTTTTTTTTTTTTTTTTGACAGGGTCTCACTCTGTTATGCAGGCTGGAGTACAGTGGTGTGGTCATGGCTCACTGCAGCCTTAACCCCCAGGCTCAAGCAATCCTCCTGCTTCAGCCTCCCAATTAGCTGAGACTATAGGCATGTACCACCCTGCCCAGGTAGTTTTTAAAATTTTTTGTAGAGGCAGGGCCTTACCATGGTTCCCAGGCTGGTCTTGAACTCTTGAACTCAAGTGATCCTCTTGCCTCGGCCTCCCAAAGTGCTAGAATTACAGGCATGAGCCACCGTGCCTGGCCTGTGCTTTTGAGGTCTTGTTCATAAAATCTTCTCAGATGAATGTCCTGAAGTGTTTCCACTATATTTTATTTTTTTCATTTGTTTTTTTGAGACGAAGTTTTGCTCTTGTCACCCAGGCTGGAGTGCAGTGGCGCCGTTTCAGCTCACTGCAGCCTCCGCCTCCCAGGTTCAAGCGATTCTCCTGCCTCAGCCTCCCAAGTAGCTGGGAGTTACAGGTGCCCGCCACCATGTCCAGCTAATTTTTGTATTTTTAGTAGAGACAGGGTTTCACCATGTTGGTCAGGTTGGTCTCGAACTCCTGACCTCAGGTGATCTGCCAACCTCGGCCTCCCAAAGTGTTGGGATTACAAGTGTGAGCCACTGCACCTGGCCCTCTGCTATATTTTCTTCTAGTAGTTTTATAGTTTTGGGTCTTACATTTAGGTCTTTGATTCATTTTGAGTTGGTTTTTGTAAAGGTGAGAGATTGGGGGGGGGGGGTCTAGTTTCATTCTTTTGTCTGTGGATATCCAGCCTTCCCAGCACCATTTATTGACCAGACTGTTCTTTTCCCAGTCAATGTCATTGGTGCCTTTGTCAAAAATCAGTTGATCGTAGATACGTGAATTAATTTCTAGGGTTTCTCTTCTGTTTCTGTGTGGTCTATGTGTTTATTTTTATGTTGGTAATTTGCTGTTTTGGTTACTATAGCTTTATAGTATATTTTGAAGTCTGGTAGTATGATGCCTCCAGGTTTATTCCTTTTGCATAGGATTGCTTGGGCTATTCATGGTCTTTTGTGGTTCCATACAAATTTTAAGATATTTTTTCTATTTCTGTGAAAAAGTCATTGGTATTTTGATAGGAATTGCATTGCATCTGTAGATTGCTTTAAGTAGTATGTATAAAAGCAGTTTCTTTTAGAATTATTTTTTATTTTAAGAGGCAGGGTCTCGCTTTGTTACCCAGACTGGAGTGCTGTGGTGTGATCTTGGCTACTTTGAAATTTTTTTGTAGAGACAGGGTCTCACTGTGTTGTCCAGGATGGTGTCAAACTGCTGGGCTCAAGCAATCCTCCTGCCTCAGCCACCCAAAGTACTAGTATTATAGTTATGAACCACCGCACTCAGCCAGTAGCAGTCTTAATTAAAATAAATCTGATGTTAGAGTTCTACTTATCGGGGTCTGTGATTCTCTTGTCATAATCTTTTCTCATTGTATCTGTGTCTGCATGCTAAAAATTTTCCAGGAAATATGGGCATAAGAGCTAGAAATCAGAGTGAGAATTTTAGCATCTAATGATAATGTTTCTGTGTCATACTGTCAATCTAATCTAAATTTATAAATCTTGACATGTTCAGCCTTCTGGTTCAGGATAAAACTGAAAATTTGAAACATTACGAATTGCTTCCTTGACTAGCCAAATAGACTTTCTAGGTGCTTGAAAGCTTACACTCCCAGACTAGCACCCCACTTATTTGTAGATCACATTGCTGGTCACTTCAGCTGTCTGTCCTAAATCAGAAAGAAAGAAAAAATGCTTTGGGGCACAATCCTTGTATTTATGCATCTGTATTTTACTCCTTGAAAGAAGCCCTTGAGTTATCATTTAGAGCATGTTGATTCTTTATTTTATTTTATTTTATTTTATTTTTGAGATGGAGTCTTGCTCTGTTGCCAGACTGGAGTGCAATGGCACTATCTCGGCTCACTGCAACCTCCGCCTCCCAGGTTCAAGTGATTCTCCTGCCTCAGCCCCCTGAGTAGCTGGGATCACAGGCATGCACCACCATGCCTGGCTAATTTTTTTTTTTTTTTTGTATTTTTAGTAGAGATAGGGTTTCGCCATGTTGACCAGGCTGGTCTCAAACTCCTGACCTCAGGTGATCCACCTGCCTTGGCCTCCCAAAGTGCTGGGATTATAGGTGTAATTTACCACACCCAGCCAAGATTTTTTTAAAATAAGAAAAGAGCATGAGTTCTATAAATCGGTCCTAGGTCTGAGTCCTGGTTCCAACATTAATTTGCTCTTTGACCCTGGATAAGTTACTCTGCAAGTCTAAGATTCCTCATCTGTAAAGTGTTGATAATTATAACTCCCTCACAGGGATTACTGTGAATATTTAAATAAGACAATGAATGCAACATGAATCTTGCTTTCATGGAGCGTATAGTCCAGTGGGAGACACAATTAGGAAGTAAACATATAGAATTACAGCTTGTGCCAGGTTCTCTGAGGGAAAAAGAACACTGTTCTCTTAAGAAGAATAATAAAGGAAGGGAGATGTTTTAACTTGGATGATCAGAGAAAGCTTCTAAAGTGGTGATACTAGACTGAGACCTGAATGACAAGGAGGGAAGTCAGTAACATAAAGGCGGGCTCCTCGGCACTGCCCAGGAGTTCTGGAGTATTTCCCCAGTAAACTAGTGTTCCTAACAGTAGTTTCAGATGTTCTTTGCTCTTCTCAGACTTTCTACCATTTATCTTAGGAAGAAAATTGAAGCCATCAGATAAAATTCCCTTAACTCCATGTAAACCACTGCTTCCAATTTTTCTGAGTGATCTTTTTTTTTTTTTTAATAGAGATGGAGTCGCACTATGTTGGCCAGGTTGGTCTTGAACCCCTGGCCTCAAGGAGTCCTCCTGCCTTGGCCTCCCAAAGTGCTAGGATTATAGGCGTGAGCCACCACATCCAGCCTATCTTTTTTTTTAATTAAAAAAAATTATTTTTTGAGACAAGGTCTGATTCTGTTTCCCAGGCTGGAGTGTAGTGGCATGATCATAGCTCACTGCAGCCTTGAACTCCTGGACTCAAGCAGTCCTCCTGCCTCAGCCTCCTAAGTAGCTGAGATCACAGGTGCATGCCACCAACATCTGACTAATTTTTAAAAATTTGTAATGGAGATGATGTCTTTCTATGTTGTGCAGGCTGGTCTTGAACCCCTGGGCTCAAAGCAGTCCTCCCACCTCAGCCTCCCAATTACAGGAATGAGCCACCACACTCAGTTTTTTGTTTTTTGTTTTTTGTTTTTTCCCAGTCAGGGTCTTACTCTGTCACCCAAGCTAGAGTGCAATCATAGCTTACTATAATCTCAAACTCCTGGGCTCAAGCGACCCTTCGACCTCAGCCTCCCGACTAGCTAGCTAGGACTACAGGTATGTACCACCATGCCCGACTAATTAAAATTTTTTGTTGTTGGGATGGAGTCTTGCAATGTTGCCCAGGCTGGTCTCAAACTCCTGGCCTCGGGTAATCCTCTTGTCTCATCCTCCCAAAGTACTGGGATTATAAGCATGAGCCACTGTGCCTGCTCATTATTTCTTTAAGTACTTTTTCAGCCACACTGTCTTTCTCCTGTCCTTGAGATATTCCAGTGACACAAATATAGCTTTAGGTTTTTGGTTTTGGTTTTTTTCCCATTCTGTTCTTGTTATTTAAATTAGGTAATTTATGTTGTTTTATCTTCTAGTTCACCAGTCTTTTTTCTCTGTTCTCTATTTTACTGTTGACCTCAAGCATTATTATATTTTTCACTTCTAAAATTTTTATTTGATTCTTCTTTATATCTTCTCTTGCCTTGCTGAGTCTGTTTTCATTTTTTTCTTTTTTTCCTTATTAAATTTTTTTTAAATTTTTTTTTTTTTTTTGAGATGGAGAATCTTGCTGTGTCGCCCAGGCTGGAGTGCAGTGGTGCGATCTTGGCTCACTGCAACCCCTGTCTCCCAGGTTCAAGTGATTCTTCTGTCTCAACCTCCTGGGTAGCTGGGACTACAGGCGTGTGCCACCATGCCCAGCTAATTTTTGTATTTTTAGTAGAGATGGGGTTTCGTCATGTTGGTCAGGCTGGTCGCGAACTCCTGACCTCATGATCTGCCTGCCTTGGCCTCCCAAAGTGCCACCGCGCCTGGTCTGTTACTCATTTTTTTTCAAGCATATTTGTTTACTTTTGAAAATTTAATTGCATTTTTTTATGGCTCCTTTAAAATCGTTGTCAAATAATTTTAACATTTCTGTTACCTTACTGTTGGCATATATTGATTATCTCTTTTTGAGTTTGAAGTCTTACTGGTTCTTAGTATGATTCAGAGTAATTTTTTATTGAAACCAGGACATTTTAGGTGATATGAGACTTTTCTGTTTTAGTTTGAGTCACTGACGTCACTCCAGCAGTGGAAGGTAGGAGCACTGCCTTGTTACTGCCAGATTGGGGTTAATGTTCTTTGTAAAAATTTTTATAGGCCAGGCACAGTGGCTCACGCCTGTAATCCCAGCACTTTGGGAGGCCGAGGCGGGCGGATCACGAGGTCAGGAGATCAAGACCATCCTGGCTAACACGGTGAAACCCCGTCTCTACTAAAAATACAAAAAATTAGCTGGGCATGGCAGCGTGTGCCTGTAGTCCCAGCTACTCCAGAGGCTGAGGCGGGAGAATGGTGTGAACCCGGGAGGTAGAGCTTGCAGTGAGCCCAGATCGCGCCACTGCACTCCAGCCTGGGTGAAAAGCGAGACTCCGTCTCAAAAAAAAAAAAATTATTTTATTTTATTTATTTTATGTTATTTTATTTTATGTTATTTTTATTTTTTATGTTATTTTATGTTATATTATTTTGTTATGTTTTATGTTGTTATTTTATTTTATTTTGTTATTTTATGTTGTTTTGTTATTTTATTTTATGTTATGTTATTTTGTTACGTTATGTTATTTTATTTTATTTTGTTATTTTATGTTATTTTATTTTGTTATTTTATTTTATGTTGTTATTTTATGTTATTTTATTTTGTTATTTTATTTTATGTTATGTTGTTATTTTATTTTATGTTATGTTATATTTGAGGTGGAGTTTCGCTCTTGTTGCCCAAGCCGGAGTGCAATGGTGCGATCTCAACTCACTGCAACCTCCGTCGCCTGGGATCAAGCGATTCCCCTGCTTCAGCCTCCCAAGTAGCTGAGATTACAGGCAGGCACCATCAGGCCTGGCTAATTTTTTGTGTTTTAGTAGAGACGGGGTTTCACCATGTTGGCCAAGATGGTCTCGATCTCCTGACCTTGTGATCCATCCGCCTCGGCCTCCCAAAGTGCTGGGATTACAGGTGTGAGCCACTATGCCCAGCCAGATTAGGGTTAATGTTCTTTCTGGTTCCCCACTTGGCTTCTCTTGACACCCAAGGTGCAGGGCTATGCAGAGGTTGGAATTCTGACTCCCCACTAGGATTCTATTGATACTTCCCTAAATGAGAGGGGTATGGGTATGTCATTTCTGCTTCCCAGTTGGCTTCTACTGACACCATGTTGGGAGGAGGTGGCCTCATTACTGTTGGGCAGTTGTGAAAGTCCTGACTTTCCACTAGACTTCCTATGACAGCACCCCAGCAGGGAAGCAGGTAGAGAACTTCATCGCTGCTTGATGAGTGTTGAAGTTCAGGCTCCCCAGAAGGTATCTACTAACATCGTGGTGGGGGATAGTTCTTACTACCCAGCAGGAATGAAAGTCCTTGCTCTCTACTCAGACTTCTCTAACACCTCCCCTGTGGGCAGATTGGGGCAAGTAATTACAGCCTGGCAGGGGTAGAAATCTAGGCCCCTATTGGCATTTGCTGGCATGGGTGGAGCTGCAGTTTTTTCTGTCGTGTTTGGCTGAAGTAGAGCAGTTACTGTCTACTAGCTGTTTCCTGTCTTACTAGTTGCTGCTTTCCTGGTACGTTGGCTAGAGAGAGCAGATTTTGGGGGAGGTTTTTGTCTGTGCCCATTGGTGTTTCCAGGCTGCTGGCTCCTTCAACTTTAGATCTGGGATATATGACCAGAAAAAAACCAGGAACTTTTCTGCGTTGTTCCATGGGTCCCAAGGTCCCCCCTAGCTGATCTGCTTTCATCTCTTCACCTTTCAGAGTGATCTAGCTCCAGCTCACCTTCAGCCTCATTTCTTCTGTCCCATTTGCATGCTTATATCCCCAGAAATGCACTGCATCTATGGCTCTAGCTATTTCTTATGTTCAAGCAATATAGAAAGAACTACTTGCCATTTCCTAACCCCGTGATATGCTTTCACATCTTTAAGACTTTGCTTATGTTGTATATTCTTGCTTTAATATACCTAACCTTCTTCCTCTTTTTTTTTTTTTTTTGAAATGGAGTCTTGCTCTGACGCCCAGGCTGGAGTGCAGTGGCGCCATCTCGGCTCACTGCAGCCTCCGCCTCCCAAGTTCGAGTGATTCTCTGCCTCAACCTCCCAAGTAGCTGGTATTACAGGCGCGCACCACCACACCCATTTAATTTTTGCATTTTTAGTAGAAACGCGGTTTTGCCACGTTGGCCAGGCTGGTCTCGAATTCCTGGCCTCAGGTGATCCATCCGCCTCGGCCTCCCAAAATGCTGGCATTATAGGCATGAGCCACTGCACCTGGCCTACTAACCTCCTTTCTCTATCTTTGAATTCTTCCAGCATTTTCAAAGGCCTTACTCAAAGATCACCTCTCCCATCAAATCTTTTCCAGATCTTCATTCATGATGGTTTACTTCCTTTTCTTTGTTTTTGTGATACTTTATACTTGACATTGATATACCATATATCTCATTTTGTTATGGCTGTTTGTGTCTTTTTTACTCCATGGGATTATGAATCCTTTGACTATAGGGGCATATCTTATTTTTCTTTGTATCTACAACATTTAGAGTACTTGACATATAGTAATTGTTTAATAAACTGTTTGCTGAATGGACCCCATCATGAAATTTACTCTCCTGAAATAGAGTGCAGGTAATTTGAAAGGCTGTCTCTAGAACTACATTGTTTAATCGAAATGTAATTTTAAATTTACCGGTGGCCACATAAAAAAATAAAAAGAAAAACAAGTGCAACGAGTTTTAATAATTTTTATTTAACCCAATATATTAAAAAATGATCATTTCAACCTGTAGTATATATAAAAAATTGAGATACTTTACATTATTTTGTTGTATTAAGTCTTCACAATCTGGTGTATATTTTGTACTTTATAGCTGACCTCACTTTGTACCACCTGCTTTCCAAGTGCTCTCCAGCTGTGTGGAGCTAGTGACTATGTATTGGGCAGCACAGCTCTAAAATGTAATGGAGTTCTTAATATGTAATTAGTCATTTTTGTCCACTTTGGCAGGTTTTGCACAGGCCTTTCTTGATTTTAACTGTGTAACTGTAATTAAGTCTGCAAAACTCATTAGAGAATAGTGCTCCCTTTTAAAAACACCTCATTTCTAATTTAAGGGTGACTGGCTGGCAGCCTAGCTGCATTTTGAGTATGGGCCAGCTAAGATGCCGCCTTAGAGTTCCTCTCATGACTTCAGGCTATTTATTTACCTGTCCTCAACTGCTCATTCACCCCATACTATTCTTAGACTACCTGTTTTTGGCATGATTGTTACTTCTTTCACAGTCAATGTTGTTTAGTTGATATGTGATATGTTGATGTGCCTCCAGAGTATCATATGCTTGTGACACTGTTGATTGGTAGACAGGTAGATCTCGAAGGCACTTCAAGAGGTTACTGTGTCGACTTCATTTACATTCATCTGCAGGAGGGGGAGTGTGGGGGGAAGCTGTAACTACTATATATATATATATATATATTTTTTTTTTTTTTTCAGAGACAGGTTCTCACTCTGTCACCCAGGCTGGTGTGCAATGGTGCAATCATAATTCACTATAACCACAAACTCCTGGGCTCAAATGATCCTTCCATCTCAGCCTCCCTAGTAGCTAGGACTATAGGCATGACCACTGTGCCCAACTCGTTTTCAGTTATTTTGCAGAGATGGGGTCTTGCTATGTTTCCCAGGCCTAGATCGCTTTAATAAGGTTTGAGATCTGGCTAGTGGTTTATTAATGAATTACAAGGCATTAAGTGCATGCTAAATATATTATGTGTATATGTGTTTGTATAATAATATGTTAAGGTGAATTTAAAGGATAGGCTAGAAATGTATTGGTAACAAATCAAATACCTTAACACAAGGTTTATACCTCACTTGTGGTACATAAACTCTGCAAGTCCATAGAGGATTCTGCTTCATGGTCACCCTAGGGTCCAAACTGATGGAGGGTTTCTCCTCATATAACTATACTCTCTAGAACGTGAAGTCTCCTCGTTTGTCATAGCAGGAAAAGACAGCATGGAAAATCATGCACTGGCTCTCAGGTGCTTCAACATATAGTGCATTGGCCAGAACTAGGCACATGGCTCCAGCTAACTCCAGGGATGGGCTGGGAAATGTAGTTGTCTGGTAAGGTAAGAACTAGATGTTAGTGGATATCAATAATGTCTGCCACAGTCCTGATTCTGCCACTTGCTAGCCCTGTGATCTTGGAAAGCCACTCTCTGAGCCCCAGTTTACTCATCTACAAGTTGTAAACAATAATAATCTCACCTAAATGAATTGTGATTATCAGACGAGATACTGTTACATGGGAGCGCTTTGGAAATGTAAAGTGTGATGGAAATTTTGGCTATTCTTTAACTGTTTTTTGAATTTAAAACGCTGCTTGTTTTTCCACAGGTCTATTGAATGATGGAACTGTGGGTATTTTTAGGGGCAACCAGATGCGCTTAAAGCGAGCCTGCATTCGCAAAGCAAAGATCTCTGCTGTTGCTTTCCGGAAAGCTTTCTGCCACCACAAGTTAGTGGAACTTGATGCCACAGGTGTGAATGCTGATATCACGATTACAGACATTATCAGTGGGCTTGGCAGTAACAAATGGATCCAGCAGAATCTCCAGTGCCTGGTGCTGAATTCATTAACTCTCTCCCTCGAGGATCCTTACGAGCGCTGCTTCAGCCGGCTTTCTGGCCTTCGAGCTTTAAGCATCACGAATGTTCTCTTTTACAATGAAGACCTGGCTGAAGTTGCCTCATTGCCAAGATTAGAGAGCTTGGATATTTCTAACACCTCAATCACAGACATCACTGCTCTACTGGCCTGCAAAGACCGACTCAAGTCTCTAACCATGCACCACTTGAAATGTTTAAAAATGACAACTACCCAGATACTGGATGTAGTTCGGGAACTCAAACATCTGAATCATCTTGATATCTCAGATGATAAACAGTTTACATCAGACATAGCTCTTCGCTTACTAGAACAAAAAGACATCCTACCTAACCTTGTTTCTCTGGATGTTTCTGGGAGAAAGCACGTGACAGATAAAGCCGTTGAAGCCTTTATACAACAACGTCCAAGCATGCAATTTGTAGGTTTGCTGGCTACTGATGCTGGTTACTCTGAATTCCTCACAGGCGAAGGACATTTGAAGGTTAGACTTTAAAAATGTATTATTTTGTCAGGCTGACCAATATCTTAGTTGCATAAGACTCTATTAAAGATGAATGTCTGTAATATATGGAACATGTTCATGAAACAGGGCTGCATATAGTTGAAAGGCTTAGAGTCCTAATTAAAATCTCAGCTTCATGACCCAGAACAAGCTATGATGTCACTTCGAGTTTTTATTTATTTGTAGAATAGATATTATTCTTACCTTGCAGAATTCTGAAGATTAATAATAATCTATGTAAAGGGCAAGTCACGTAGTAGGTCCTGGCTAAACAATAGGTTGTCTTATGATGATAATGTTTAGCTATTTTGAACCATTTACATATATGGTTTTTTTGTTTTTGTTTTTGTTTTATTTTAGTTAAACAATCATTTTATTGCTTGAGTACACAGACAAATTTATGCGACCAGGGCAGAGGCTGTAGATGATTCATATTTCCAACTGGGAGGGAGGACTCGCTTGGTCTTATAATATTGAGCCAAACGGTGAATCTGGCTCTCTATCAGAATCAGATGGAATTTAGCATCCTTATCCTTTCTGTTCCTCTCAAGATGCTTTGAACAGCAACTGCTTTCTTAATTAAATGGTAGAGATCTTCAGGAAGATCAGGAGCAAGTCCCTTAGACTTAAGAATTCTTAAAATTTTATTGCCTGTCACAAAACGTACTTGTGCAACACCATGTGATTCTCTCACGATTACACCGATCTGTGAAGGAGTAAGGCCCTTCTTGGCCAGTTTGTAAATCTGCTCCTTCACGTCGTCAGATGTCAACTTCAACCAAGTGGGGAAGCTGCGTCGATAGGGTAAAGCCGACTGGGACAGGCCCTTCTCAGGAGCACGCATACGACCCATGATGGCGGCGATCAGGCAACGAAAGGCTTGTTTTTTTTTTTTCTTTTGAGACGGAGTCTTGCTCTGTCGCCCAGGCTGGAGTGCAGTGGCGCTATCTTGGCTCACTGCAAGCTCTGCCTCCCGGGTTCACGCCATTCTTCTGCCTCAGTCCCCTGAGTAACTGGGACTACAGGCGCCCGCCACCACGCCTGGCTAATTTTTTGTATTTTTAGTAGAGACAGAGTTTCACTGTGTTAGCCAGGATGGTCTCAATCTCCTGACCTCGTAATCTGCCCGCCTCGGCCTCCCAAAGTGCTGGGATTATAGGCATGAGCCACCGCGCCCAGCTACATATACTGTTTTTAATGGATAACTTCAGAGAAACTAAGGACACCCCTTGTTGAATTGAATACCTAGTGGAAGATCAAGTTTTCTAAGGAGATCTCTACTGTAGAAATGGTAGAATTTTGCTTTTCCTAAGATTTCTCATGCCTAATGGTTTAAATTTAGTTTAACAAACATCAGTTGGATTTGGTAGAGCTTGGGATTCAAAAATGAAAATGAGGCTGGGTGCAGTGGCTCACACCTATAATCCCAACACTTTGGGAGGCAGAGGTGGGCAGGTCACTTGAGGTCAAGAGTTCAAGACCAGCTTGGCCAACATGGTGAAACCCCGTCTCTACTAAAAATACAAAAATTAGCCAGCCATGGTGGCATGTGCCTGTAGTCCTAGCTACTCAGGAGGCTGAGGCAGGAGAATCACTTGAATCCAGGAGGCGGAAGTTGCAGAGAGCCAAGATTGTGCCACTGCACTCAAGCCTGGGTGACAGCGTGAGACTCCGTCTCAGAAAAAAAAAAAAAAGAAAATGATATAGGATCTGCCTCCAAGGAGCTTAACCTAATGGGAGTGGTGATTATATGATTAGAAATACATTTTTATATTTATACCTTTTATAGATGTATGCTTTAAACTATATATATATATATATATATATATATATTTTTTTTTTTTTTTTTTTTTTTTTTTTTTTTTGAGATGGAGTCTCGCTCTGTCGCCCAGGCAGGAGTGCAGTGGTATGATCTTGGCTCACTACAACCTCTGCTTCCCAGGTTCAAGTGATTCTCCTGCCTCAGTCTCCCAAGTAGCTGGGACTATAGGCACACACCACCATGCCCGGCTAAGTTTTTGTATTTTAGTAGAGACAGGGGTTCACCATGTTGCCAAGGCTAGTCTCGAACTCCTGAGCTCAGGCAGTTCGCCTGTCTTGGCCTTCCAAAGTGCTAGGATTACAGGAGTGAGCCACCACCCTCGGCCTGGTTTCTCTGAGAAATTGATGGATGAGTGGAGATCTTAAGGGTGAGTAGCTCAGTAGAGAGCATTCCAGGCAGACAGAATAATACGTGCAAAGACTGCGTTAGGAAGAGAGGTGAGACCCAGGCATCAGTATTTTTTAAAGCTTAGATGATTGCAGTGTCCAGCCAAACTCATGAATCACTGTTTTACAATAACTTTTTTTTTTTTTTTCCTCAGAGGCAGGGTCTTGCCCTGTTACCCAGGCTGGAGTACAGTGGGCATGAACAGGCTCACTGCAGCCTCTACCTCCTGGGCTCGAGTGGATCCTCCTGGCTTAGCCTCCTGAGTAGCTGGGACCACAAGCATGTGCCACCATAACTGGCTAATTTTTTTTTTTTTTTTTTGAGATGGAGTCTAGCTCCGTCACCCAGGCTGGAGTGCAATGGCGTGATCTCGGCTCACAGCAACCTCCACCTCCCAGGTTTTGACGAATTTCCTGCCTCAGCCTCCTGAGTAGCTGGGATTACAGGTGCCTGCTATCATGTCCAGCTAATTTTTGTATTTTTGGTAGAGATGGGGTTTTACCATGTTAGCCAGGCTAGTCTTGAACTCCTGACCCAGGTGATCTGCCTGCCTCGGCCTCCTAAAGTGCTAGGATTACAGGCGTGAGCCACTGTGCCTGGCCTAATTTTTTTTTTTTTTTTTTTTTTTTTTAGTGTTTTTGTAAAGATGGGTTCTTGCTCAGCGATCCTCCCACCTTGGCCTCCTAGTTTTGGGATTATAGGTGTAAGCCCCTGAGCCTAGCCTGGCTTTCTTACCATAGAATTTCCAGCTCTGTCATCAGTATTTCCCCACTCGATTTTCTCTTCTCACTATTTCCCTACTCAGTTTTCTCTTCTGTTACCATCAGTTTCCTGAACCTTCCATTTCTCCAGAACTAGAATTCTTACATTTGTTGGCCACCTTATCCCATACTTGGATTATCTACCATGCTGTAGCTCCCAACTCATGAGAACATTGAAAATCTGCTAAACCCAGTGTTAGTTCTTAGTCTTCATTTTATTTGACCCAAAGTAAAATGGTATTTGTCATAATTGATCTTTGCCTCTTCCTTGAGATACCTTTTTTTTTTTAACTTAGCTTCCAGGATATCATACTTGTCTTGTTTTTTTTTTCCTACTTGTCTTGCTACTAAGCCTCAATTTCCTTTGTTGGTTCTTCCTCATCTTCCAGGCTTCTAACTGTTGGAGAGTTCTGCACCTCAGTCCTTAAATCTATATGCTGATGACTCCTAAATTTGTGTCTTAACTTAGAGCTCTCCCTTGAAGTCAGACTCCTATATTGAACTGCAGTAATCAACATGCAGTGAAGGTACATAAATGTTTTTTGGCCAGGCGTGGTGGCTCATGCCTTTAATCCCAGCACTTTGGGAGGCCGAGGTGGGAGGATTGCTTGAGCTCAGGAGTTCAAGACTAGCCTGAGCAACATAGTGAGACCCCCATCTGACACCTGTAATCCCAGCACTTTGGGAGGCCAAGGCGGGCGGATCACTTGAGGTCAGGAGTTCAAGACCAGCCTGGCCAACGTGGTGAAACCCCGTCTCTACTAAAAATACAAAAATTAGCCAGGCATGGTGGCACATGCCTGTAATCCCATCTATTCAGGAGGCTGAGGCAGGAGAATTGCTTGAACCTGGGAGGCGGAGGTTATAGTGAGCCAGCATTGTGGCACTGCACTCCAGCCTGGGCGATAGAGTGGGTCTGTGTCTCAAAAACAAAAAAACAACAACAAAAAGATATCTGTTAATATCCCTGCTCTTGAGGAATTCTAGTCTAGTGGAGAAGATACAGACTAATTTAAAAATAGCTTTAGTCGGCCAGGCGTGGTGGCTCACGCCTGTAATCCCAGCACTTTGGGAGAAAAAAGAATATACTTATAATTTGAGCAGCCAGATGTGAGGGTTTGTCACTGGGTAGAGAAGTGTTGTTCACTGAATAAAACATAGAGGCAATGTCTGGATGCAGTGGCTCACGCCTGTAATCCCAGTGCTTTGGGAGGCTGAGGCAGGCGGATCACCTGATGTCAGGAGTTGGAGACCAGCCTGACGAACATGGAGAAACCCCGCCTCTACTAAAAATCCCAAAAAAATTAGCCGGGCGTGGTGGCGCATGCCTGTAATCCCAGCTACTTAGGAGGCTGAGGCAGGAGAATTGCTTGAACCCAGGAGGTGGAGGTTGTGGTGAACCAAGATGGCGCCATTGATTTCCTGCCTGAACAACAAGAGCAAAACTCTGTCTTAAAAAAAAAAATATATATATATATATGCAATAAAGTTGGCTTAGAGCACGCCTATAATCCCAGCACTTTGGGAGGCCAAGACATGCGGATCACTTGAGGCCAAGAGTTGGAGACCAGCCTAGCCAACATGATGAAACCTTGCCTCTACTAAAAATACAAAAAAATTTAGCCGGGCATGGTGACAGATGCCTGTTGTCCCAGTTACTTAGGAGGCTGAGGCAGGAGAATCACTTGAACCTGGGAGGTGGAGGTTGCAGTGAGCCAAGATTGTGCCACTGCACTCCAGACTGAGCAATAGAGAAAGACTGTGTCTCAAAAAAAAAAAAAAAAAAATTGGCTTAGAGTCTTTAACATTCCAGTAACAAGAGTTCTTTAATTTTATATTCAAGGTAACTTGAGGATATATTTCGTATAAGAGATTTATAAAGCTGTTGGAACCAACCAAATGTGGGTAAAGGAAGAATAAAGTCTGATTTAGATTATTTTATATTTCCCTCTTAGAGTTTTTTTCATTTCACATTTCAGCATTTTTTGTTTTTTTCTGAATTTATAAGAAAAAGTTCTGGGTGATTCAATGAACTGAACACTTTGAAAAATTTTATTAAATACCCATTTGTATATGTGAATATGTAGTCCAAACCAGTTTGTGTATGTATGTTATACATAAATAGAAAGTTTAAAAAGGGTTTAAAGAAGTAAAGTAATGGAGGCTGGAAGTGGTGGCTCATGCCTGTAATCCCAGCACTTTAGGAGGCCGAGGTTGGCTGATCATTTGAGGTCAGGAGTTCGAGACCAGCCTGGCCAACATGACGAAATCCCGTCTCTACTAAAAATACAAAAATTAGCCGGGCGTGGTGGCGGGCGCCTGTAATCCCAGCTACTCAGGAGGCTGAGGCATGACAATTGCTTGAACCCGGGAAGTAGAGGTTGCAGTGAGCCGAGATCGTGCCACTGCACTCCAGTCTGGGCGACAGAGCAAGACCGTATCTCAAAAAAAAGGAAAAAAAAGAGAAAAGACGTAAAGTAATGGAAGTAAAGAAACTTTTATTATTATTTCAACAATCTTAGAAATTCTTCATATGTACCCTTGTGTCATGTGACATATATCAATACTGTAGTCTAATTCATTTCAGACTCTTGTAGCATATCCTATTAATGGTTGAAATGTCAACCATGATACATCCCTTCATTTCCTCAAAGCTGCATATTCCAATCTGAACGTTTATAGGCTTTTTTGTTTTTTTTGATAGAGTCTCACTCTGTTGCGCATCATGGAGTGCTGTGGCACAGTCATGGCTTACTGCAGCCTCAAATTCGTGGGCTCAAGCAGTCCTCTTCAGTCTCCCAAGTAGCTGGGACTACAGGCATGCACCATCACACGTAACTAATTTTTCTTTTCTTTTATAGAGACAGGGTCTTACTATGTTCCCCAGGCTGGTTTTGAACTCCTGGGCTCAAGTGATCCTCCTGCTTCTACCTCCCAAAGTGCTGGGATTACAGGCATGAGCCATCATGCCTGGCTGAATATTATATGTTTATATACAACTTAGTTACTGAGTAATATATTTTTAAAATATTTGATTACTTTTGTGTCACACTGTATAATGTTACTGCCAAAAAAGACTAAATCTTCCCCTTATTATGAGATAGTCGCTCTGAATGACGTTTTTTGGCATTTTTTAAAACTTTATTGTAAAATAAAACAGAGACAAAGGCAGTAAATAATTATATAGCTTAATGAGTTGAAAATAAAGTGAACACACTTGAGACCATCACTCAGGTTAAGTAACAGAACTTTGTCATCTACCCCAAAGCTCGCTTCAGCCTCCCAAAGTGGTGGGATTACAGGCGCGAGCCACTACACCCAACCATGTCCTTTCATTTCTTTATAATTTTATGACCCAACTATTTAGGCACCTGTATAATCTTGTCTGTTTAAAACAATTTGATGTCTTTTGAGTATCTTTTAGTTTATAGGTTTCTCCTCATCCCTTTCTTTTCCTTATAATTTGTTTATTGAATAATCTATCGTTTGGATTTGTAGAGTTTCCCTCAGTCTGGATTTTATTGTATTTGTTGATGTTTTGTAGAGACAGGGTCTTGCTGTGTTGCCCAGGCTGGTCTGGAACTCCTGGGGTTAAAGTGATGCTCCTGCCTCAGCCTCCGAAAGTGCTGGGATTACAGATATAAGCCACTCTGCCAGCCTGGATTTTGCTGATTGTATACTAATGGTGCATCTTTCTCTTTGTATTTTCTGCAAATTGGTAGCTGGATTTGGAGGCTTAATTAGACTTACGTTAGATCCCTTTGGCCAGACCCTTAGGTGTTGTATTCTTACGTTATGAGGTACATAAATATCTAGTTGTTTCTCTTTCTGTGATGTTAGCAGTTATTGACACTTAGTAGCTAGATCTATCAATTCATTGGGGATTATGGTGATATTTTAATCATTTATTTTTCACTTACTAGTTGGATTACTTTTATAAAGAGCCACTTTCTGCTACCTACGTTTGGTTGCCGAATGGCACCTGAACTACATTTTAAGATAAGCGTATTATCTTAAAATAATATACTTTTATGTTGGGAATCCCTAGAAAGACTTAATTTTAAACAGAACCTCTTGGTGCTGAAAAGGAGCGTGATAAATCTGGGGAAATTAATTGATACATTTATTTGATGAATACTTATGGAGAAAGTATTCTGAGCCAAGCATAACGCTAGCTATTGTGGTACAATGGTGAATGGATCAATGTAGTGGGGGATTATGATAATAGCTCTGAAAGAGATGTTTCAGGGGACCTAACTTAAATCAGTGGCTCAACAAAGACTTCTCTAAGAAAGTGTCCTTAACTTGAATAAGGAAGAATGAGTAGAAATTAGTCAGGTAAAGAGAGAAAGGAAGTTTTCAGTCAGAGAGGACATTGTATGAGTGGTCCTTTGCTGAGAAAAAGCTTGACTTACGGAAAGGTGAGGAAAAAAGGTCATACAGTTATAACATTGTGAGCTAGAGGGAGGGGATTAAGAGGCAGATAGGATCCTAATCAAGCGGTAGGGCCTTATAATAGTGTTAAATATCTTGAGATCTATTTTAGGTATAATACAGAAAATTTCGCCCATGGTCTTATGCTAGGTTCTGAGCCTATCTAATATACATCTCTTCAAGACAGATATAGCTGTTTAAGATGACTAATCTGGATAGATTGGAAAGTATAGTCATTTTTATTTGATCCCAGCTTTACATAACTATCCAAGATACCATGTATACAAATGATATTTATTTATTTATTTAGAGACAGAGTCTTGCTGTGTTGCCCAGGCTGGAGTGCAGTGGCGTGATCTCAGCTCACTGTAACCTCCGCCTCCTGGGTTCAAGCGATTCTCCTGCCTCAGCCTCCTGAGTAGCTGCAGTTACAGGCATGCACCACCGTGCTTGGCTAATTTTTTATTTTTAGTAGAGATGGAGTTTCACCATGTTGGCCAGGGTGGTCTCGAACTCCTGACTTCACATGATCCACCCACCTTGGCCTCCCAAAGTACTGGGATTACAGGCGTGAGCCACCGCGCCTGGCCACACATGATAATTAGATAGAGAAAGAGAGAGAATTCTAAAAGCTAATCTGGTTATGTTCACAGGTGTCTGGGGAAGCCAATGAAACTCAGATTGCAGAAGCACTGAAGCGTTACAGTGAACGGGCATTCTTTGTTCGGGAAGCTCTATTTCATCTTTTTAGTCTGACTCATGTGATGGAAAAAACAAAGCCAGAAATTTTAAAGGTAAGAATAAGAAACTGGATATGAAATTTTTGAAATGATCTCCCTGGGCAGATGATTTTTTGAAGAAAATTGGTGAAAATTTGCATTTAGTCTTTTTTTATTATTTATAATGTGATTGATGACGTGTGATTTCAATCATTAGCTATAAACGAGAGAGAAGATAGTTGTACAATGTTATTGAAGCTTCACAATAATCTCATTAAGCAATATAAATGTCTTGTAGTACATATTTATCTACCTAAAACCAGTGACTACCATGATATTTTATCACCAGCTACTGTAGAAAATGAAAGTATATGACTGGAATCAGGACACTGTATTGTATATTAACCCTATATTGCTTCCCAAATAGATTTTTTAGAAATACAATATTGCACCAAATATGGTAGTTCATGCCTGTAATCCTAGCACTTCAGGAGCTGAGACAGATGGGTAGCTTGAGCCCAGGAGTTCGAGACCAGCCTGAGCAAGATGGCAAAACCCCATTCCTACAAAAAGTATTAAAAAAATAAAAAAAAGAGAGAAGTAAAGACAAAGCAAATATTGAAATTCTATAAGGTACTTTTCCATGCTGTTTAGAACCTACTATGCATTCTTAACTGATTTACATTACTCCGCAATTAAGTTTTGTTTTGTTTTTAAGACATAGGGTCTTACTGTGTTCCCCAGGCAAGAGTGCAGTGGCTGTTCACAGGCCTCAAACTCCTGGGCTCAAGCAATCCTGTCTTAACCTCCCAAGTAGCTAGGACTACAGGTGTGTACATCACAGCACCTAGCTATTTTAACCAAAACAGCTTTTGAAGGGCAAGAAAGGAGATTTCTTAATTTTATTGAATGCTTTGGGCAACATTTATCAAAATGTGGTCCTTTGGGCCAGGACGCAGTGGCTCACACCTGTAATAACTTTGGGAGGCTGAGGCAGGTGGGTCACTTGGGGCCAGGAGTTCTAGACCAGCCTGGCCAACATGGCGAAACCCCATCTCTACTAAAAATACAAA
Source organism: Homo sapiens (assembly GCF_000001405.40). NCBI lineage: Eukaryota > Metazoa > Chordata > Mammalia > Primates > Hominidae > Homo > Homo sapiens. The sequence continues at coordinate 52,780,992 of NC_000001.11, forward strand.
AAATTAGCCAAATGTGGTGGTGCACGCCAGTAATCCCAGCTACTCAGGAGGCTGAGGCATGAGGAACCTGGGAGGCCGAGTTTACAGTGAGCCGAGATCGTGCCACTGCACTCCAGCATGAGCAACAGAGCAAGACTCTCTCAAAACAACAACAACAACAACAACCAAAGTTGTCCTTTAACCACTAGAAGTCTAGGATGTTGCTTATTTAAAAAGCTTATTTGTGGCCAGGCATGGTGGCTCACACCTGTAATCCCAGTACTTTGGGAAGCCAAGGCAGGCAGATCACTTGAGCTCAGGAGTTCAAGACCAGCCTGGGCAACATGGCAAAACCCCATCTCTACAAAAATTACAAAAATTAGCCAGCTGTGGTGGCACGCACCTGTAGTCCCAGCTACATGGGACACTGAGGCGGGAGAATTGCTCAAGCCAGGGAGGCAGAGGTTACAGCGAGCTGAGATCATGCTACCACACTCCAACCTGGGTGACAGGAGTGAAAACTTGTCTTAAAAGAGAAAAAAAAAAGATATTTGTAAACCCCACTCCCAAAAATTTAGATTCAGTAGGGCTAGATGAGGCACAGGAATCTACGTTTTAATAAGCCCCCAAGATAATTCCAAGGTAATTCTTACGCACGTTCAATTTTGAAAACCAATGAGCTTAGGACTCTATTATATTTGGCACCTCATTTAGTGGGCACAATTCCAAGAGATGGGTTTTATCTTCTGTTTTACAGATAATGAAATTGAGGTTCTGTGACGTTAAGTAATAATAAGTCAGTGGCAGAGCCACAACTTGATATCCTACATATCTTAAATTCTGAGAATGAGGCGCTTGGGTAGGAACCAGTAACATTTTAGTCCTTAGGATATTATCACCAACACCTGTCACTCCTTTTATATATATCAGAGGATGTTGGCACTTGGTATATGAATTGTCTTTTTTTTTTTGTTTTGATTACTGTGAACTGAGCAACAGAAGACTAGATCTCTAGTCTTGATCTGAAATATTCATTCAGACATTCAGAGAATGATTCAGAGATAAATGGAAGAATATAGGCTATTTATTTATTTATTTATTTGTTTATTTATTGAGGTAGCATCTCACTCTGTCACCCATGCTGGAGTGCAGTGGCATGATCATGGCTCACTGCAGCCTCGACCTCCCTCCTGGGCTCAAATGATCCCCCTTCCTCAGCCTCCAGAGTGGCTGGAACTACAAGCTAATAACACCATGCCTGGCTGAATTTTAAAATTTGTTATTATTATTATTGGTTTTTTTGTAGTGATGGAAACCCACTGTGTTGCCCAGGCTGGTCTCAAATTCCTGTGCTCAAGTGATTCTCCCGCTTTGGCCTCCCAAAGTGTTGGGATTATAGGAGTGAGCCACTTTTATTTTATTTTTTTAAAGATACAAGATCTAGCTGTATTGCCCAAGCTGGAGTGCAGTGGTGCACGATCATAGTTCACTGCAACTGCAACCTCAAACTCTTGAGCTCAGCAATCTTCTGCCTCAACCTCTCGAATGGCTGGGAGTATAGGTGTGTGCCATCACACCTGGCTAATTTTTCAAATTTTTAAAAATAAATTTATTTATTTATTTTTGAGACAGTGCCTCACTCTGTCACCCAGGCTGAAGTGCAGTAGTATGATCATAGCTCACTGTAACCTCAAACTCCAGGGCTCGAGCAATCCTCCTGCCTAAGCCTCCTGAGTAGCTAGGACTACAGGCCCATGCAACCACACCGGGCTAATTTTGTAGAGACGGGGGTCACACTATGTTACACAGGCTAATTTTAAAAAAATTTTTTGTAGAGGCAGGTTCTTGCTGTGTTGCCCAGGCTAGTCTCGAATTCCTGACCTCAAGTGATCCTCCTGCCTTGAGCTCCCAAAGTCCTGTAATTACAGGCATGAGCCACTGCACCTAGCCTAGGCAATTCCTTTTTTTTTTTTTGAGACTGAGTCTCACCCTATTGCCCAGGATGGTGTGCAGTGGTGCTATCTCAGCTCACTGCAACCTCTGCTTCCCATGTTCAAGCGATTCTTCTGCCTCAGCCTCCCGAGTAGCTGAGATTATAGGCACCTGCCACCACGCCCAGCTAATTTTTATATTTTTAGTAGAGACGAGGTTTCACCATGTTGGCCAGGCTGGTCTCGAACTCCTGATCTCAAGTGATCCACCTGCCTCGGCCTCCCAAAGTGCTGGGATTACAGGCATGAGCCACCATGCCTGGCCAAGGCAATTCTTATAGGGAATTTTGCTGCAAAGGGGAGCAAAGAAAAAAGATGGTAATCGTTTGAGGAAGTGAGATTAAAAGAGGGATGTTTTGATTTTTTTTAATAGGAAAAATATATCTTGTTTGTATCCTGATATGAATGATCCAGTACAGAATAAAAAATTGATATAGGAGTAGGAGGGGTGAACAGCTTCCTTTCAGTAGACAAGAAAATAATTATCTAACATATACATGAAGGGATTTGTTTTACAAAGGACCCCAAAAGATTCCTTATGGTAGCAGGCAGGAAGGTGACATGTATATGTACGTATGCTGGTAAGTAGGATACATGTGGTAATGAGAATCTGAAGTTCTTTTCTGGTTGCTTCAGTTTTCTTTCTTTCTTTTTTTTTTTTTTTTTCTCTTTTCCTTAGAGGCAGGGTCTCACTCTGTCCCCCAGGCAGAAGTGCAGTGGCACAACCATGGCTCACTACAGGCTCTGCCTCCCAGGGCTCAGGTGATCCTCCCACCTCAGCCTCCCAAGTAGATGGGACTATAGGCGTGTACTACCATGCCCAGCTTTATATATATATATATATACACACACACGTATATGTATACATACGTGTGTATATGTACATACACGTGTGTGTGTATGTACATACACGTGTGTGTATATGTACATACACGTGTGTGTATATACATCTATACATATATGTGTATATACATCTATACATATATGTATATATACACATACACACATATACACACACACACACATATATATATATAGAGAGAGAGAGAGATGGAGTTTCACCGTTGTCATCCAGGCTTGAGTGCAATGGTGTGCTCTTGGCTCACTGCAACCTCTGCCTCCTGGGTTAAAGCAGTTCTCCTGCTTCAGCCTCCCGAGTAGCTGGGATTACAGGCACGTGCCACCATGCCCAGCTACTTTCTGTATTTTTAGTAGAGATGGGGTTTCACCATGTTGGCCAGGCTGGTCTCAAACTCCTGACCTCAAGTGATCCACCTGCCTTGGCCTCCCAGAGTGCTGGGATTACAGGCATGAGCCACCATGCCTGGCCCCCAGTGAATTTTTGTATTGTTTTATACAGATGGGGTTTCACCATGTTGCCCAGGCTGGCAGTTTTCTTAGTGTAGTTGAAAGCAAGATCTTCAGCTGATAGTGAGGAATGGGAAGGATTCGTTGGGGGTTTGAGGGCAGAGGAAAAAGTGAGAAATAGTTGTCTAGGCCAGGGAAAGTGAATGGATTTTATTGCACTTTAACCTCAGCAGTGTTCTCAAGGAACTGAAGATTGAAATTTGAGAGTGGAGTGTGCTCTATTCAAGTCAGTGAGAATTTATTCACTGCCTTCCATATAACAGGCACCATAAGTAGGTCTTGGAAATACAAAGATGAGTGACCTGTGTGAAAAAGATTCATTAACTTTACAGAAAACCCCTAGATATGAATAGCTGAATACCTGCCTTGGTGAGGTAGACTGGAACTATTTGTGAGTAACTGCTATATCCTAGGCTCTTTGCACATGAGGATGAAAAAGAAAATTATGACATCTTTGAAATTACTATAGACCAACAAAATAATTCTGCTCTGTGAAGAGGGCTTGTATTTATAAGGTGAATTAAGAGGACTAATTTTTTTTTTCCAGCTTGTGGTTACTGGGATGAGAAACCACCCTATGAATTTGCCAGTGCAACTGGCTGCAAGCGCCTGTGTATTTAACTTAACCAAGCAGGATCTTGCTGCAGGGATGCCTGTCCGACTCCTGGCTGATGTGACCCATTTGCTGCTCAAAGCCATGGAACATTTTCCCAATCACCAGCAGGTAAGCTTATGTGAATTCCTTTTCAAATAGTCCTTGTAGTGTCTTCTACTCATCTCCTACAGTTCAGTTTAATAGACCAAGGCTGGAAATTCAAATGCCTTTGGAGGCTGTGGTATGACTGAGTGTAAGAAAACAGAGAAGTGGACACCAAAGGAGTATATTCCGTGCCTAAAAGCACCTAAATCCATATATTGGGGGACATAATACAAGCCATACAAAACTCATCTTCCTCCTAGATCTTGAGTTTGTGATCATTTCAGCAGATAGGCACAGAGGATCTGTTCTGGGCTAGGCACTATCAAATGCTGGGATACATAAATGATTAAGACATGTCTTTTCCATTTCTAGCAGTATGGTAGAAGATGTAACCTGTCTTATACTCAGGATGAATACTAAAAATGTTGCTTAATTTTTTTGTTTTTTAAACAGAGTCTTGCTCTGTTGCCAGGCCAGAGTGCAGTGGCGCGATCTCAACTCACTGCAACCTCCACTTCCCGGGTTCAAGTGATTCTCCTGCCTCAGCCTCCCAAGTAGCTGGGATTACAGGCGCGCACCACCACACCCAACTAATTTTTGTATTCTTAGTAGAGACAAGGTTTCAACATGTTGGTGAGGATAGTCTCCATCTCTTGTCTTTGTGATCCGCCCACCTTAACTTCTGAAAATGCTGGGATTACAGCCACCTCACCCGGCCCTTAACTTTTTTTTAGGTCATTTGAAATTGACCATTGAGTTGGCAAGTTAGTAAAAAATACTCAGAGGCTCAAAACCAAGTAAAAATGGCAAGCCACATTGGTGAGTAGATCATTGAAGCCAGCTTCCCTCATTGAGGGCAGTTGCCAAACTAGATGAAATTTAGGCTTTGATTTTCGTGGCCTCTGGAAGCCCGTCAGACAGAAGACTCCTAGCATAAACTATGACTTCCTCCCCAGAGATACATTCTTACAAAAAGGGAGCTATAAATAAGTCTGCCTATGTTAGAGAAACAACAAAAGAATAAGCCCAAAGAAAGTAGAAGGAAGGAATAACAAAGATGAAAGTAAAAATTAATAAAATAAAAAACATACCATTATTTTAGAGAGGATCAATAATTCCAAGAATTGGTTCTTTGAACATATTTAATAGTATTGAAAATTCACTGGCAAAGTTGATCAGGGAAAAATGAGAAAGGATGCATATAAAATAAATAAGGTTAGGAAATGGGGTGGGGGAAATGGGAAGTCACTGTAATGGTTATAGAGTTTCCTTCTGGGGTGATGGAAATGTTTGGGATGATGAAATTGTGATGGTTGCACAACTCTGTGACTCTACTAAAATCCATCAAATTGTACACTTTAAGTAGGTGAATCGTATGGTACATGAACTGTATCTCAATAAAGTCGTTATATATTTTTAAAAACAATGTTCACAGTAGGCCAGGCACGGTGGCTCACGCCTGTAATCCCTGCACTTTGGGAGGCTGAAATAGGAGGATCACTTGAGCCCAGGAGTTCAAGACCAACTTGGGCAACATAGTGAGGCCCTGTCTCTACAGATAATAAAAAAATTAACCTGGCATGGTGGCACACCATCTGTGGTCCCAACTACTCAGGAGCCTAAAGAGTACATGCCTAAAAGCATTTAAATCCATATGTTGAGGAATTGTTAGAGCCAGGCACTCAAGGCTGCCATGAACTGTGATCAAGCCACTGTACTCCAGCCTGTGCAACAGAGCAAGACCTTGTCTCAAAACAAACAAACAAAAAAGAATGTTCGAGCCGGGCGTTGTGGCTCACACCTGTAATCCCAGCACTTTGGGAGGCCAAGGCAGGCATATCACATGAGGTCAGGAGTTTGAGACCAGCCTGACCAACATGGAGAAACCCTATCCCTACTAAAAATACAATATTAGCTGGGCGTGGTGGCGCATGCTTATAATCCCAGCTACTCGGGAGGCTGAGGCAGGAGAATCGCTTGAACCCGGGAGGGGGAGGTTGCAGTGAGCCAAGATCGCACCATTGAACTCCAGCTTGGGCAACAAGAGCGAAACTCTTGTCTCAAAAAAAAAAAGTGTTCACAGTAGCACTGTGTAACTGTGTATAATGATAACATATTGGAAACACCAAACACCAAATGTCCATCAGCCTGTGTTTAGTCACACATCGGAATACTTAGAAGCAGTGAATGATGAATGAATTACAATTCCAGATGACAACCTTGATCAATCTCAATTACAAATTGGGTATTTTAAAAAATGCAGAAGAGTACATACATGTGATTCAATTTACTTACAGTTCAGAAACTTGCAAAACTATACGACACATTATTTAGGAATATAAATACATGTTTTGATAAAAAGCAAGGGACTGTTAAACACAAAATTTAGCTATTAGTTCCTCTGAGGGGAAATGAGAGGGAAAAGAGGGGGCCAAATGGGGCTTGCTAATAGTACTATTGGTAATAGATTCTTTTTCTGAAACTGAGTGGTAGGTACACCTACACAGCAGTAGTATTCACTGTATTATTATTCCTTACACTTTTGCTACTCAAAGTGTGTTCTGCTAACCAGCTGCGCTGGCATCCCCTGCAAGCTTGTTAGTAAGGCAGAATCTCAAGATAACAGACTTACAGAATCATCTATATCAAGACTCCAAGTGATTTGTATACACATTAAAGTTTGAGAAGCACTGTCTTATGCCTACATATATTTTGTAAATATTTTTCTGTATTTCTTATTTAGTAAAAACATTTAAAAACAACTCAATTAAAAAAAAAAAACCCTGGGAATTCACCTATTAGTTGGAAATGCAAATACTGTAAACTATTTTGAAATTTTTTTAGCTATTTTAACTAAGTGCTACAGAAAGTTGAGAATGATTAATTCTGCTGGCTGGATTGGTGTATAGACAAAGGTACCAGGCAGGATTTCAAAGGGGAAGTGACATTGACTCACATCTTAAAAAATGAATAAGATTTCCCATGGAGAAAAGCAGAAAAACAGTGGACCTATGCCTACATATATTTTGTAAATATATATGTGAATGTGCAGGCATTCCAGGAAGGGCAGGTTGCATGTGACTGGAGTGTAGGAAGGGCAGTGTAGGATGAGGCCAGTGATATCCAGGTTAGGGCCAGATTTGATGAATGCCAGCATAGGAAAGTTTGATTCCACATTGAATTCCTTAAAAAAAAAATTTAAAGAAAATTCCTAAATACTTGCATAGTTCAGACTGTAGCCCCCAAAATCAAAACTCTAGCTGGGCGGAAATTGAAGACTACAGCAAAAGTCTTTCTCTTTTCCATTTCTACCTGTGGTGCTTTTCAAATGCAGTAAGGCATAGATTCAGTGAAATTTATCTTCTGTTATTAAGTTAGCCATTAGTTCAGTTAAGCTTAGCAGCTCTTTGTTGAAGTCAGACTATGTGCACCTGTGCCAAGTTCTAAGCATTCAGATACAGAAACACATAATGTAGCATGGTGTAGCAAGTACTAAGAGAAACAAGTGCTGTTGGGAGCCCAGGAGGAGCACTTAGGACAATTTGAAAATTAGAGGCTGTGCACTGTGGCTTGCCTTTAATCCCAGCACTTTGGGAGGCTGAAGCAGGAGGATCACTTGAGTGCCAGGAGTTTGAGGCTGCAGTGAGCTATGATTGTGCCGCTGCATTCCAGCCTGGGTGACAGAGCGAGACCCTGTCTCAAAAACAAACAAACAAACAAAAACTAAGAAGTCTTCCTCAATGAGGTAATATCTTTGCCCTGAGTTGAATTGTGAAGGAAAATTAGGAGTTTTCCAGCTAAAGGAACAGGAGGGATGGGCTTTCTAAGTGGAGGTAATTAGAATAGCATTATTGCCTTTCTTACTTCTATGGATCCTGTACAAATTATCGTGTTTATTTGGGAGGAGAAAAATGGTGAAGGAGGAAAGTTATGCCACTAATCAATCTGCCAGATTATGATTCAGATTTAAATGGATCCTCAAGCAGTGTCTGTCCTAGCACCTTGACCATCTGTGATGAATATAAAACTTCCTGAGAAACCCTCTTAATTAATTACACTTGTACCTAACCCATTCCATATCATTCACCTGGGATTCACTACCACTTTGCCTTTTCTCTGCCATTTCTTCTATTATGTAATCTTTCTGCATCTTCCATGAAGCAAATAGGGTGTTCATTTTATATCTGTTTTTCTATTTCTTGACTAGCTGTATATATCCCATTAACTGACTTTTGCCTTCTATGATTGAATTCCCTATATTAAGTCTTTTTAGATAAGAAATCTTCCAATCGTACACAAAAACCTTTAAAAAATATTAAAGCCATTTGTCCAAATAAAAAAATTTTAGTAGTATATACACTGTGACTTTTTTTTAAGCCCACACTTATTTTCTTATTTTGCTTCACAGGAATAACTTGAATCACCTTTCTATTATGATGGTGCACCTTGACTGTGTCAATTAATTATTCATATTTTCATTTACTCTTGTTTAATTGTGCTGGTCTAAACTTTATTTAAAAGATAGAGCCAAGTCTGTCAGTCACTCTTTAGAGGCCAGTGTGTAGAACACTACCCACCGTGTACTCTATGTTAGAGTCTTCCAAGCAGGCTCGTCTATATTTGATGCTATGTCAACAGGTAAAACTTTCAACCACTGTTTTTGTCATGCTCTCTATCTCAAAAAATACAGAAGACAAGGTTACTTCATAGGCCACCAGAAAGGAGATTAGCTGTAATTATCCTATTTATGGCCCTATTTCTCATCTAATGGAAAATAAAAAAAAGGTACAAGTAAACTTGTATGGGTCTCCTGGAACTCAGCCTTTCAATACTAGGGGGGCAGATAAAGATTGTAAGAAATAACTGGTGTTTCATCAGTCTTCTTCTTTTTTTTTTTTTATGGAAGCTACCATGGTTAAAATATAACAAAGTGATATTTTATTTAGGATTTTTTTCTTCCTTTGATTCTTTAGTTACAGAAGAATTGCCTCCTTTCACTTTGCAGTGACCGGATCCTTCAAGATGTTCCATTTAACAGGCAAGTGATAGCTCTAGAACTTAAAGTGGGGCAAAACAGAATGTTAGAAATCTGTCTTGGGTCATTTCTTACCATTTAGGATATCCCTTTTATAAGATTAATTGAATAGATAGAATTGTGGGTTATTTTATAGAATGCTAAATCTACTTTCTTTAATTTAGTGGCTTTGACATTCATGATAGCAAATTGACCCATGTTTTCATAGTCCTTTGCTTAGGAATTTATGTTGGTTATAGTTTTCAAGATATCCACATGATATTGTAAGCTATGAACATTATTATCCCCATTCAAAAGATAAAAAAACTAAGGCATATATAGAGATTCATTGTCTTGACTATGGCTTTGTGTCTAATAACTGCAAGATTAGTAAGATGCAGGTTTGGCCAGGCACAGTGGCTCATGCCTATAATCCCAGCGCTTTAGGAGGCCAAAGCGGGAGGATCCCCATGTCAGGAGTTCGAGACCAGCCTGGTGAAACCCTGTCTCTACTAAAGATACAAAAAATTAGCCAGGTGTGGTGGCGCACGCCTGGAATCCCAGCTACTCGGGAGACTGAGGCAGGAGAATCGTTTGAACGGAGGCGGCGGTTGCAGTGAGCCAAGATCGCGCCATTGCACTCCAGCCTGGGTGACAGGGCAAGACTGTCTCAAAAAAAAAAAAAAAAAAAAAAAAAGACATAGGTCTTCTAATTCTAGGTCCAGTGTTCTTTTTTTTTTTTTTTTTTTGTAACATGTCTGTTATTATTATCATTATTTGGTATTGAATTATGGAAGAAACTTTTTAAGGAGAGGTTAAGGGAGGCCATATAACTAGATTCCATTAAATATAAAGGGGTCCTTTGTTTTCTAAGATGTAATTTTGGAGCTTAAATTTTTTTTTTATTTTACTATTTTAAGATATAATTTTTCTTTTTCTTTTTTTTGAGAAAGGGTCTCACTCTGTCACCCAGGCTGGAGTGCAGTGGTGCAATCTCAGCTCACTGCAACCTCCTCCTCCTGAGTTTAAGTGATTCTCCTACCTGAGCTAACTGAGTAGCTGGGATTACAGGCATGTGCCACCACGCTGGGCTAATTTTTGTATTTTTTGGTACAGACAGGGTTTCACCACGTTGGCCATGCAGGTCTCAAACTCCTGACCTCAAGTAATCCACCCACCTCAGCCTCCCAAAGTGCTGGGATTACAGGCGTGAGCCACCATGCCCAGTCTTAAAATATAATTTTTTAACAATGGCATTTTGAAAAGGAAACTTATACTTCATTATTTAATGAAAAGTATGTTTCTCCAGCAGCAATTTTTTATTTTATTTTATTTTTTTTTTGAGATGGAATTTCACTCTTGTTGTCCAGGCTGGAGTGCAATGGCGTGATCTCGGCTCACTGCAACCTCCACTACCTGGGTTCAAGCAATTCTCCTGCTTTAGCCTCCCAAATAGCTGGGATTACAGGCATGTGCCATCATACCCGGCTAATTTTTGTATTTTTAGTAGAGATGGGGTTTCACCATGTTGGCCAGGCTGGTCTCGAACTCCTGACCTCAGGTAATCCACCCACCTCGGCCTCCCAAATTGCTGGAATTACAGGCATGAGCCACTGCGCCTGGCCTTCAAGCAGCAATTTTACTGTGATTTACTTTTATTTGAGTAACAGAGTACACTTATCTGGCATGGCTAAGGAAAGAGGTGTTCCATTTTTTATTTGAAATAAACAATTTGGATAAAAATATAACTACGTATATCTCATGTAGATTGCTAATTTTATTTTGGGAATATTGAACCTCTGTGCTCATCATCGTAACAAAGTCTAAGGTAGGAAAGACATAGTCACTCTCCTAAAGATTATATTCTACTCCTTAATATTTTCTTAATGGGCTAGATTAGAAATACTCTAGGCCTATGGGCTATAGAGTCTCAGTTGCAGCTATTTAACTCTGCCATTGTCCCTCAAAAGCAGCCATAGGTAATATGTAAGCAAATGGATATGGCTGTGTTCCAACAGAACTTTACAAAACAGGCAGCCAGATCCACAGGCTATGTAGTTTGCTTTCCTCTCATCTAGCCAATGCACTCTGCTAGAATTGACCTTCTTTGTGGTCAGAGGCTATGACTGATTCATCTCTTTGTCTCTAGTGCTTGGGTGGATATTTAGTGGATTGATTGATGGATGAATGAATGAATGAATGAATGAATATTACATGAGACAGAATTTTTCATAGAAGAGGTGTTAATGAAATGCATTGTGCCCCCACACAAGGAAGGAAAGATTCTGTCTGACTGATGATCATTAAGGATTTCCTGTTAGTTATGGCACTTGAGATAAAAACGGTAAAAACTAGCATGTATGAAGCACTTACTACTGCCAGGCAGACATTGTGCTAAAGTGTTTTATGTAAGCTTATTCAGTCCTCAGAACAATCCTGTGAAATTATTACTCTTATGATCTTCATTTTACAGATGAGGAAATAGAGACACAGAAAGGATTAGTAACTTGCCCAAGGTAATAAGATAGTAAGTAGCAGAGTCTAGATTTAAATTCAGTCTGACTCCAGGGCCTCCATTTTTTCATCCATGCTATGTTGTTTTGAAGATGAGAGCTGTTTGAATTGTTTTATGTTGTTGAAACTGCATGAATAAAGGCACAGAGAAAGTCAATTATATTAGTAAAAATTAACTTTTATAAAGAACTTATTTTGTGCCAAATTCTGTACTAAGTCTTAAGCTTCTATGTGATATCATTTAATCCTCATGACAACCCTATGGAATAGGTTTTTATTTTATTTATTTATTTATTTATTGAGACAGAGTTTCGCTCTTGTTGCCCAGGCTAGAGTGCAATAGCAAGATCTCGGCTCACTGCAACCTCTGCTTCCCAGGTTCAAGCAATTCTCCTGCCTCAGTCTCCTGAGTAGCTGTGACTACAGATGTGCGCCGCTACGCAAGGCTAATTTTGTATTTTTAGTAGAGGCGGGGTTTCACCATGTTGGCCAGGCTGGTCTCAAACTCCTGACCTCAGGTGATCTGCCTGCCTTGGCCTCCCAAAGTGCTGGGATTACAGGTGTGAGCCAGCACACCCAGCCTGGAATAAGTTTTTGTTACTATTTTACAGATAAGAATGTTGAAGTTCAGCGAGGTTAAGGAATTTGGTCAGAGTCCCAAAGTTAGGCCAGGCGCAGTGGCTCATGGAGAATGTAATCCCAGCACTTTGGGAGGCCAAGACAAGTGGATCACTTGAGGTCAGGAGTTCTAGAGCAGCCTGGCCAACATGGTGAAACGCTGTCTCTACTAAAAATACAAAAAATTAGCCAGGTGTGGTGGCGGCTCCTAGCTACTTAGGAGGCTGAGGCAGGAGAATCCTGGAGGCAGAGGTTGAGGGAGCCAAAATTGTGCCACTGCACCCCAGCTTGGGCAACAAGAGTGAAACTCCGTCTCAAAAACAAAAAGTTAATAAGTGGTGGAGGTGATATTGGAATCCAAGCTGACTCCAAAGTGTATGATGTTCTTAACAACTTGACTGCATTGCCTCACGATAAAATAATTTATTTTATTGTTATCATTAACATTAAGTAGAACTAGAATTCAGACCCAGAACTGACTTGAGAATCTCTACACTTTACCACTAGCCTGTGTTACCTCATACTTGTGGGCATGTGTGAAGACTAATGAACAATCTGCTTTGCAGAAAGCATAGGGTAGGCAGGAAGAAGCTTGATATGGCCCCACGCTAAAGTCCTAGAATGCTTTGAGTATGGGAGTGACATCATACCTAAGTCCTCGGACAGGTTTCTTTCTTTCTTCCTTTTCTTTCTTTCCTTCCTTCCTTCCTTCCTTCCTTCCTTCCTTTCTTTCCTTTCTTTCCTTTCTTAGTTTTCTTTGTTTTCTTCCTTTCCCTTCCTTTCCTTTCCTTTCATTTCTTCTTTCTTCTTCGTTTTTTGAGATGGAGTCTCACTCTGTCGCCAGGCTGGAGTGCAGTGGCGTGATCTCAGCTCACTGCAGCCTCTGCCTCCCGGGTTCAAGTGATTCTCCTGCCTCAGCCTCCCGAGTAGCTGAGACTATAGGCGCGCACCACCACACCCAGCTAATTTTTTGTATTTTTAGTAGAGACGAGGTTTCACCATGTTTGCCAGGATGGTCTCTATCTCTTGACCTTGTGATCCGCCCACCTCGGCCTCCCAAAGTGCTGGGATTACAGGCGTGAGCCACTGCTCCTGGCCAGAGGTTTATTTCTAATGTGCAGGCACACATTGATTGGAAACTAGTGGAGACAGGGAAGCCAATTAGGAATATATTGTAGAAGAATGCAAGTAGTGGGCCTAATCAGAAATGGCCTTGGAAACAGAAAGAAGGTAATAGTAAATTTAAGAGAAGTTCTACAGTAGTAATCTACCTGAAAATAATCATTCAGTCAACATATATTAAACATTATTTATGTTTCGATCACTGTATTGAGTGCGTGCGTGGCATAAAGGGCTAAATAGGATATATAGTCCCCGCCCTCAAGGAGCTCACAGGCCAAATGGGGATTCAAGTGAGTGTGCAGATGACTGTGGATCTCTGACAGCTATACCTAAAGTACTAAGGAGCTAAGAAGGCAGTGATCAATGTGTCAAAGAAACCACCTCAAAGGCAGTGATATTTGATCTGAGTCTTAAGGATGAAACTGTGGGTAAGATAATCAGATGTATTCCTTGACCTCATCTTGATTTTTCTCCTTGTATCCCACATTGAGTTCTTTGGCAAATCCAGCTCTATCTTCAAAATTTATCCAGAATTCATCCATTTCTCTTCACTTCCATTTCTATCACGTGGAGTAGACTAAAAGTGATTTCTCTCCTGAATTACTGCAGTAGCCTCAGAACTGCTCTCCTGCTTCTGTCCTTGCCCTCCTGGAGTTGATTCTAAACACAGATGATCGAGTAGTCCTGCTCATGTCATATTCCTGCTCAGAAGCCTTCTATGGCTTTCCCTCTCATTCAGAGTAAAAGCTAGTTCCTTAATGATATGGTTTGGCCCTGTGACGCCACCCAAATCTCATGTTAAATTGTAATCACCAGTGCTGGAGGTGGGGCCTGGTGGGAGGTGATTGGATCATGGGGGTGTTTTCTAATGGTTTAGCACCATCCCCCGAGTGCTGTCTTGTGATAGAGTTCTCCCGAGATCTGGTCGTTTAAAAGTGTGTAGCACCTCCGGCTTTGCCCTTCCATCTCCTTCACCCATGTAGGATGTGCCAGTCTCGCCTTCCACCATGATTGCAAGTTTCCTGAGGCCTTCCCAGTGGTGCTTCCTTACAGCCTGTGGAACCATGAGCCAATTAAACCTTTTTTCTTTATAAATTACCCGGTCTCAGGTAGTTATTTATAGCAATGCAAGAATGGACTAATAACTAGACTCCATGTGATCTGGTGCCTCTGTTACCTCTCACTTTATCTCTCAGAACTCTTCCCTTGTTCTCTCTGCTCTGGCCTCACTGACCTCCATGCTATTTGTTGACATTTCTATGCCCATACCCACTTCAGGGCTGTTGTATTTCTCCTCCCCTCTGCCTGGAATGCTTGTCCCCTAAATGCCCATATGGTTCTTTCTTACTTCCTCAAAAGTTTCAATGAGGCCTTCCGTAGCCACCCTACATAAAATTTCAACATTTCATATCCTCTTTTCCTGCTTTATTTTTTTCCGTAGCATATGGTCAGTACCTAATCATACTATATATTTTACGTATTTATCTGATTTATTACCTGTCTTCCTCACTAGAATGTAAGCTCTATGAAAGTAGGGACATTTTTCTGTTTTGTTCACTATTCTATCTCCAGCACTAAGAACAATATCTGGCACAAAGCAAGAGTTTAATATATGTTTGTGAATGAATGAATGAATGTTTCTGTTGTGTTAGGTGCTATGAGGAACCCAAAAAATACTTAAATTACAACTATAATATGGAAATCACTATAATTTAGAAATACAGAATAGAAATATGTTATAATTCTAGAAGATGAAATGCCAAATAGTTGGAATGATATTTTCCAAACCCTTCTTTCTTTATGAAATGTTGTCAGAATTAATATTATGGCATCATCTCTAAAACACTAAGTGTAATTGTTACTCTCTACCAGTTAAGAGGAATTTTCCCTTGCCTTTTCATATATTTAAGTTGTAGCATCAGTTCCTAGCTGGAACTCTGAAATTGTGCCTGGGCCTCCACGATTAATTCATGAAACCCTTTTTGTGTTTTCAGGTTTGAAGCAGCCAAGCTTGTCATGCAGTGGCTTTGCAACCATGAGGATCAAAACATGCAAAGGATGGCAGTTGCTATCATTTCTATCCTGGCTGCCAAGGTACCTGAACTCTTGCTGAATAATTTTCTGTAGACAGCTGTTTCTCACTACATTTACTGTTTCCCCCCAAAAGCTGTGTGCCAGAAACATTAGTAAATCTCTCTGCCAGCCTGCTTATTCAAGCTACATTCGATATTGCAGAATTTGGCTGGGCACAGTGATTCACACCCATAATCCCAGCACTTTGGGAGGCCGAGGCAGGCCTCCCAAAAACCGATATGCAGCAGAATTCCAAGTTGATCAGAGATTTTAGTCTCACCTTTGGAGTGAGGTACAGTGAATGATATTAAACTCACATTAATGAGTTCTTGGACATTGAATTTGTTTTTTACTTGCTTGCAGCTTTCTACAGAACAAACTGCACAGCTTGGTACTGAGCTCTTCATTGTCAGGGTAAGTCTATAATCTCCTCCATTCAGGCCACTAGATATTCATGTTTATTGTTTTCAGGCAGTATTGTATATTTTCTGACATTTTTTATATATATATAATTATATATAATATATAATTATATATATATTATATATTATATATAATTATATATTATATATAATGTATAATTATATATTATATATAATATATATAAATATATATATTTTTTATATAAATATATTATATATTTATATATTATATATAAATTTATATATATAAATTTTTA
Organism: Homo sapiens; assembly: GCF_000001405.40. Classification (NCBI taxonomy): domain Eukaryota; kingdom Metazoa; phylum Chordata; class Mammalia; order Primates; family Hominidae; genus Homo; species Homo sapiens. The sequence continues at coordinate 52,797,050 of NC_000001.11, forward strand.
TATATTATATATATTTATATATTATATATTGTATATATTTATATATTACATATTGTATATATTTATATATTATATATTATATATTTATATATTATATATTATATATTTATATATTATATATTATATATATTTATATATTATATATAAATTATTTATATATAATATATAAATATATATTATATAATATAAATTTGTATATATAATATATATTTATATTATATATAAAATATTTATATTATATATAAAATATAATATAAATATATACATATAATATATATATTATATATTTATAATTATATATTATATATAATACATATAATATATAATATATAATACATATATATCATATATGAAATATATATCATATATTATACATATTATATATAACATATATATTATATATCATATATGATATATATATTATATATGATATATAATATGTATAATATATAAAAATATATATATATATTTTTTTTTAGACAGAGTCTCGCACTGTCGCCCAGGCTGGGAGTGCAGTGGTACGATCTCGGCTCACTGAAAGCTCCGCTTCCCAGGTTCACGCCATTCTCCTGCCTCAGCCTCCCGAGTAGCTGGGACTACAGGCGCCTGCCACCATGCCCGGCTAATTTTTTTGTATTTTTAGTAGAGTCAGGGTTTCACCATGTTAGCCAGGATGGTCTCGATCTCCTGACCTTGTGATCCGCCCACCTCGGCCTCCCAAAGTGCTGGGATTACAGGCGTGAGCCACCGTGCCCGGCCAACATTTTATATTTTAATAAAAATTTTTTGTGGCTAGGCATGCGGTGACCCACACCTGTAATCCCAGCACTTTGGGAGGCCAAGGCAGGAGGGGATCACTTGAGGCCAGGAGTTCAAGAACAGTCTGGGCAATCTAATGGGACTCCTTCTCTACCAAAAAAAAAAAAAATTGGACATTGTGGCACATGCCCGTGGTTCCAACTACTCAAGAGGCTGAGGTGGGAGGATCACTTGAGCCCAGGAGGTCAAGTCTGCAGTGAGCCGTGATCATGTCACTGCACTCCAGCCTGGGTGATGGAGTGAGACCCGTTCTCAAAACAAACAACAAAAAATTTTTTTTTGGTTATTTGTAAAGAAGTGAATTTATTTCTTTTCATATATGCAGCTTTACTCCTTAACAGAAATGGAAAAAGCCCTGACCTAGGAGTCAGATGACCTAGGATCTAGCTTGTAAACTCACTTTGTGAATTTGGGAAAATTACTTGAACCATTGGGGTCTACATAAGTGTTAAGATCCTATCTAAGGCCAAGCACAGTGGTTATGCCTGTAATCCCAGCATTTTGGGAGGCCAAGGCAGGAGGGTTGCTTGAGCCCAGGAGTTCAAGACCAGCCTGAGCAATATGAGACCCCATCTATACAAATAATTTAAAAATTAGCCAGCCATGGTAGCACATGTCTGTGGTCCCAGCTACGCAAGAGGCTGAGGTGGAAGAATTGCTTAAGCCCAAGTGGTCAAAGTTGCAGTTAGCCGTGATGACGCCACTGCACTCCAGCCTGGGTGACAGAGCAAGACCCTGTCTCCAAAAATACAAAACACCTATCTAATTCTAAAACTCTGTGATTTTTGTTATTTATATAGAAAATGTAGAGACTCTGTTACAGGCATAAGGTTGTGCTGTATGCTTTGGGGAAGCAGATACATGATTTTGCTTGGTTACAATCAGTTGAGGAAATAAGACTAGTAAACCACGAAAACTTTAAACAGCTTTAAAGGGAGTAGATATAAACAATGTCTTAGGGAAGACTTAGAGGCAAAAAGTATATTTAAACATGCCTGTTAAAATCCTGGCATGAGGTGTTTGAATAGTAATACTACATGGAAAAGTCAAATAAGAGACTCCCTTTTTCCATGACATAAATTATGTATGTAATGAGAAAGTAAACCATTCATTTGATAAATATGTATAAAGTACCCATGATATCAAATGAATGATACTTGCTACCTTACTAGATGTTAGGGAATTTACACTGAATTATAATTATGTAATTATAATTCACACTGAGTTATATCTATAAATTCTACCCATAACAGTGCAATAGAAAAAAAATAGCTATGTAGATATGGTTGTAACAAAATCTAAAAAGTATAATAATAGAGATAAGAATGAAAAAAATAGGCCGGGCATGGTGGGTCACATCTGTAATGCCAGCAATCTGGGAGGCCGAGGCGGGTGGATCACAAGGTCAGGAGATCGAGACCATCCTGGCTAATGCAGTGAAACCCCGTCTCTACTAAAAATACAAAAAATTAGCCAGGTGTGGTGGCAGGCGCCTGTAGTCCCAGCTACTCGGGAGGCTGAGGCAGGAGAATGATGTGAACCCAGGAGGTGGAGCTTCCAATGAGCCGAGATAATGCCACTGCACTCCAGCCTGGTCGACAGAGCAAGGCTCTGTCTCAAAAAAAAAAAACAAAAGAAAGAAAAAAATAGCTGGGCACAGTGGCCCACGCCTGTAATTTGGGAGGTTGAGGTGGGCGGATCACGAGGTCAGGAGTTCGACACCAGCCTCATGGTGTCAAACATGGTGAAACCCCATCTCTACTTAAAAATACAAAAATTAGCCAGGTGTGGTGGTACGCATCTGTAATCCCAGCCACTCAAGAGGCTAAGGCAGGAGAATCGCTTGAATCGGGAAGGTGGAGGTTGCAGTGAGCCGAGACTGGGCCACTGCACTCCAGCCTGGCCAAGAGAGTGAGACTCCGTCTCAAAAAAAGAAGAAAAAGGAAAAAAAGTAATGTTATAAAGAGAGAGAAGGCTATTCGGGAATAATGAAAAGGGTAGGAATTCTGGAGTTGACATATCTGGATTTATTTTCAGTTATGTCTCTTACTAGCCATGTATTTTGGGCAAATCACAGTTTTCTTTGGGGTGATAAAAAGGACTTAATACAGTTATTATGAAGATTAAATGAAAAGAAAAGCTCATGCTTGTAATCCCAGAACTTTGGGAGGCTGAGGTGGGAGGATCACTTAAAGCCAGGAGTTTGAGACCAGCATGGTCAACATAGCAAGATTCTGGCTCTAATAAAAAAAAAAAAATTAGCTGGGCTTGGTGACATGCACCTGTGGTCTCAGCTACTCAGGAGGTTGAAGCAAGAGGATCGCTTGAGCTTGGGAGTTCAAGTCTACAGCGAACTATAATTGTGTCACTGCACTCCAGCCTGAGTGATAGAGTGAGATTCCATGTCAAAAAAAAAAAAAGAAAAATGATTAACTGAGGTAGTATATGCTAAGTACGTAACACTAAATATAATATACATTAGATAAGTAGAAAAAGATGCTTATTTTGTTTATTTTACTGTTTTCAGGGGTGACAGTTTTAAAAAATGACTTCTTATTGCTATATATGTACCTCAGTAATTTTGGTATCTTCAAAGGTTTTTTAGGAAATCTACTCATATGCTTTGGGAGGAAATCGAGCTTAAAGAAGGAATTAGTAGGCTGGGCACAGTGGCTCATGCCTGTAATCCTAGCACTTTGGGAGGCCGGGGTGGGTGGATTACCTGAGATCAGGAGTTCGAGACCAGTGTGGCCAACATGGTGAAACGCCATCTCTACTAAAAATATAAAAATTAGCCAGGTGTGGTGGCATGCGCCTGTAATCCCAGCTACTTGGGAGGCTGAGACAGAGAATCACTTGAACCCCGGGGGGGTGGAGGTCGCAGTGAGCTGAGATTGCGCCACTTCACTCCAGCCTGGGCAAAACAGCAAGACTCTGTCCCAAAAAAATTAAAAAAAAGGAATTAGTAATAGTAGTGATACCTAACTATACCTACATGTTTATGTTTCTTCAGTTTTTTTTCCTGAATTGTGTATAGCCACTAGTATTATGTTCATTAATGTTTTCTTATATCTGTTTTAACAGAGCTTCCTTTTTTACCTCCAAAAGTATAATCTAAAAATTGAATTATGGATGCCTTATGTAGTTTTAAAACCACTTACTTTTCAAACATAAATTTTTTAGGGTAAAGCTATGATAGAACTAATTTGCACCTGGAATTTCAAAGCTATTATCTTCTTGTTTTTTTGAAAGGGAGGAAGGGGAAAAGGAAATAAAAAGGGAAGGGGAAAGGGGGAAAAATAAGAAAAAGGAAGACAGAGGTACTGCAGCATCTGCTCTCAGGGAAGGCTGAGGAGGGAGGGGCTATTATCTTATTTATAGTCAACATAGACTAATTCTTTTATTGTATGTAGTTTTTCCTTTCTTTTTTTTCTTAAGGAAAACTTGGAGTTGGATAGATTAGGTCTTCCTATTCTTACTTTCTCTGACTAAATTGACTATGAACAAATTAGTTAATATTTCTCAGACTCAATTTTCTCTCCTAAAAAATGGGAATAACAGTACTACAATATAGAATATAATTTGCTAATCCTTAATAAATGTTAGCTTCATTTGCCCTTCTTTTCCTTTGCCTTTTTAATTCTAGAATCTAAAATAAGTATATGCTGTGACTGAATAAGATAGTTGACCGAAGTTTTAATCATTTTGCCTATGTTATTTATGGGTGATTACATTATAGATATGATCAGAATAATATAGAAGTATTTATGAAAATCTTATACATTTTTCTTGAAGAAAAGTTCAGTCCAAGGGGCTGTTTGTTATAAGTACCTTTACAGGAAATGCTTTAAGCCATGAGACTAATCCTCATGGACTTGGGGTTATTAATCACCACAAATTGTAATAACAGTTCAAAAGTGAAAACTTATTTCTGTTTTTTTTTTTTTCAGCAACTTCTTCAAATAGTGAAGCAGAAAACCAATCAAAATTCAGTGGACACTACATTGAAATTTACTTTGAGTGCACTTTGGAACCTCACAGATGAATCTCCAACCACTTGTAGACACTTTATTGAAAACCAAGGGTTAGAACTCTTCATGAGGGTTCTAGAGGTTAGAATGGGAATTTAGCTTACAGTTTTGATATTTATTAATTTATTTACTTTAGCATTTATTTTATATTTGGTTCTTCAGGTAATTATAGGTTTCTTTTTCTTTTTACAGTCTTTCCCAACTGAGTCATCCATTCAGCAGAAAGTTCTAGGACTTTTGGTAAGATATAAGCACTTCCTGCTAAGTTCCAAGCTATATTTATTTTCTGTCTGAAGTAACACATTGAAAGTTGCAGCTCTGCAGTGGCAGTATCATAGCCCCTTATCTAAGGCACGGTCATTGCTAATTGAGAACTATTCCCAATACCTCACCATGATGACTTGAAATATGGTCTGCAATAGCAATTTCTTTCTTTCTCTCTTTTTTTTTTTTTTTTTTTTTTTTTGAGACAGGGTCTCACTTTGTTGCCCAGGCTGGAGTGCAGTGGTGTGATCACAGCTCACTGCAGCCTCGACCTCCTGCTGAGCTCAAGCAGTTCCCCCAACTCAGTCTCCCTAGTAGGTGGGACTATAGGTGTGCACCACAATGCCCAGCTAATTTTTGTATTTTTTGTAGAGATGGGGTTTTGCCATGTTGCCCAGGATGGTCTCAAACTCCTGAGCTCAAGCAATCCTCCTACCTCGGCCTCCCAAAGTGCTGGGATTATAGGCATGAGCTGCCTGGTCAGCAGTGGCAATTTTTGACAATTTCTAGGCGAATGAACAAAAAAAGAAAGAGAGAGAGAGAGAGAGAAAGAAAGAAAGTTGCTGCTGTGATACTTGTAAACAATGACATTGGAAAATAAATGTTATTAAATTTAAAAAGACTATAAAAATATATCACGAGGTCAGGAGATCACGACCATCCTGGCTAACACGGTGAAACCCCGTCTCTACTAAAAATACAAAAAATTAGCTGGGTGCGGTGGCACGCGCCTGTAGTCCTAGTTACTCCGGAGGCTGAGGCAGGAGAATTGCTTGAACCCAGGAGGTGGAGATTGCAGTGAGCCAAGATCACACCACTGCACTCCAGCCTGGGCAACAGAGCAAGACTCCGTCTCAAAAAAAACCCTACAACTTTATTTTTTTTTTATTTTTTATTTTTGCCACTATATATATATATATACACATATATATATACATATATATATATATATATACACACATATATATATACACACATATATATATATATACACATATATATATACACACATATATATATATATACACATATATATATATACACACACATATATATATATACACACATATATATATACACACACACATATATATATATATATACACACACACACACATATATATATATATATATACACATATATATACATATAATCCCATCTACTTGGGAGGCTGAGGCAGGAGAATTGCTTGAATCTGGGAGGCGGAGGTTGCAGTGAGCTGAGACCACGCCATTGCACTCCAGCCTGGACAATAAGAGCGAAACTCCATCTCAAAAGAAAAAAAAAAAAAACCACAACACATATATGTGTGTGTGTGTGTATATATATATTTATATATAAAGATTTTTGCCACATTAAAAGGAAAAATATAATACGCATATGCTTCTTTATATTTTTTGGTATTGTACAAAGTTTCACACTGAGCATGTTTTACTTTTTTAAATTTATTTTTGAGACAGAGTCTGTCACTCTGTTGCCCATTGTGCAGTGCAGTGGCACAATCACGGCTCACTGCAGCCTTGACCTGCCAGACTCAAGCAATCTTCTCACCTTAGCCTCCAGAGTAGCTAGGACTATAGGCATGTGCCACCATGCCCAGCTTATTTGTTTATTTATTTTTGTAGATTTGCAGTCTCACCATGTTGCCCAGGCTGGTGTCAAATTCCTGGGCTCAAGCAGTCTTCCTGCCTTGGCCTCCCAAAGTGCTGGGATTACAGGCATGAGCCACCACACTTGGCCTTGTGTTTCACTTTTATAATTGGTAAACCAGATCTCATTAAAAAATGTTATCAGACTGGACACAGTGACTCATGCCTGTAATCCCAACACTTTGGAAGGATGAGGTGAGAGAATTGCTTGAGCCTAGGAGTTTGAGACCAGCCTGGGCAACGAAGCACAACCCCATCTCTACAAAAAGTGAAATAAGAAAATTAGCTGAACATGGTGACATGTACCTGTAGTCCCAGCTAGTGGGGAGGCTCAGGCAGGAGGATCACTTGACCCTAGGAGTTTGAGGGCTGCAGTGAGCTGTGCTCATCCTACTGCACTCCAGCCTGGGTGACAGAGTGAGACCCAGTCTCTTAAAAAAAAAAGTCATTAACCTACAAGTGTTCTTAGAGTCTGTGTTTGATAGTTAATGATTACTACTTAAAGACTGCTTACGAAGGCCGAGTATAGTGGCTCAAGCCTGTAATCCCAGCACTTTGGGAGGGTGAGGCAGGCGGGTCACCTGAGGTCAGGAGTTTGAGACCAGCCTGCCCAACATAGTGAAACCCCATGTCTATTAAAAATACAAAAGTTAGCCAGGTGTGCTGGTACATGCCTATAATCCTAGCTACTCAGGAGGCTGAGGCATGAGAATCGCTTGAACCTGGGAGGTGGAGGTTGCTGTGAGCCGAGATTGCACCATTGCACTCTAGCCTGGGCAACAGGGTGAGACGGTCTCAGAAAAAAAAACAAAAAACAAAAGCCTGCTTACAAATCACATATTTCTTAACATATTGGATATGGATTAAAGTAAGCCCTCTAGGATTTTGAGACAAAGGTAAAGATCAAATGTTTTATCAGCTTAATTGCTGTAACAGGCAAAGTGTCTATGTGGCAAAAGCCATTTTATTTTATTTTTTATTTTTGAAAAAAATATTGGTCAGGTGCAGTGGCTCATGTCTGTAATCCCAGCACTTTGGGAGGCTGAGACAGGCAGATCACCTGAGGTCGGGAGTTCGAGACCAGCCTGACCAAAATGGAGAAGTCTCGTTTCTACTAAAAATACAAAATTAGCCGGGCGTGGTGGCGCATGTCTGTAATCCCAGCTACTCGAGAGGCTGAGGCAGGAGAATCACTTGAACCCGGGAGGCGGGGGTTGCTGTGAGCCGAGATCGCACCATTGCACTCCAGCCTGGGCAACAAGAGCAAAACTCTGTCTCAAAAAAAAAAAAAAAAAAAAAAATGGAACACTTTGCAAATTTACATGTATCCCTGCACAGGGGTCATGCTAATCTTCACTGTACCGTTCCAATTTTAGTATATATGCTGTCAAGTGAGCACAAAAAAGCAGACCTCTGCTCTCAAGGAATTAGATTATGGGAGGCATAGATTAGTGAGTTAAAAAATGTAAATTGGAGCTTGTTTTCCACATGCAAGCAGTGAGGAGATGGATTTTTAGGAAAGCTGAGGACTGCCATTTAAGGAAGACCTATCTGTTGTTGTAGCCTTCATTATATAAGGTAGAAAATGGAAAACAACCTAAATGTCCAGTAATAGAGGAATTATTAAATAAATTACAGCATTTGATTGTTTTTTCAGGGTTAATATGATTATTTGATACAGAAGTTGGCTCAGGTCATCTGAAACGGAAAGGTGAAATTTATTTTAAATATTTGTGGGTTGGGTGCAGTGGCTCATGCCTGTAATCCCAGCACTTTGGGAGGCTGAGGTGGGTGGATCACGTGCGGTCAGGAGTTCAAGACCAGCCTAGCCAACATGGTGAAACCCCGTTTCCACTGAAAATACAAAAATTAGCCAGCCGTGGTGGCCCATGCCTGTCCCAGCTACTCGGAAAGCTGAGGCAGGAGAATTGCTTGAACCTGGGAGGCAGAGGCTGCAGTGAACCAAGATCACGCCACTGTACTCCAAGCCTGGGCAACAGAGCAAAACTCTGTCTCAGAAAACAAAAACAAAACAAAACAAAAAAGACTTCATCTCAAAAAAAAACCTATATATTTTTTTAAATTTCCAAAGGAATACATGTTGTTATAACTAGTGAAACAGTGCAAAACTGTATTTAACATCCTTAAGGCTCTGTCTCCAACCTTTCGTCATTTTTATCTCCATGAAGTTATTAATATTAATATAACTTTATATGTTTCCTTCCATATTTTTCTCTGTTACCTTGTGATTAAATTTTTTCAATAATTTAATTTGAGATATTTATTCTAATTTAATTATTTATGGTCAGAGAATATGCTTTGTTTGGTTTGAGTCCTTCTGAATTTATTGAGACTTGTGAATGGCCAAGGATATGGTCTATTTTGGTAAATATTCCATGTACACTTGAGAGGAATGTGTATTGTCTTATTATTGGGTATAGTGTTCTATAAATGACAATCAGGTCACTGATTGTTAATTAGCTTGATTAATTAACACTAATTAATAATTAGATTGTACAGTGTCACAGTTGATACTGTACAATTCTACCACATCCTTTCTAATTTTCTGCCTACCTGTTCTATCAATTATTGACAAAGGAGTTTTGAAATCTCTGACTGTAATTGTAGATGTATGTTTCTCCTTACAGTTCTATCAGCTTTTTCTTCATGTATTTTGAAACTGTATTATTAGATGTATAAACATTTAGAATTATGTCCTCCTGTTTAATGGACTCTTTTACCGTTACCAAATGACTTTCTTTACCCCTGCTAATATCCTCTACTTTGAAGTCTGCTTTGATACTGATATAGCCATTTGTACTTTCTTTTGACTAGTGTTAGCATAGCATTTCTTGTTTTATCCTTTTACTTTTAACCTATATTTGTCTTTATATTTAAAATGTATTTCTTGTAGATAGCATATACCTTGCATCCTGCTTTTTCATCTAGTTTGAAAATATCTGTTTTTTATTTGGGGTATTTGGATCATTTACATTTCCTGTGATTTTTAAATTTTTTTAAATAATAAAAATAATAATTGTGTATGTGGAGTACAATGTAATTTTTTTTTTTTGAGACGGAGTCTTGCTCTGTTGCCCAGGCTAGAGTGCAGTGGTGTGATCTCAGCTCGCTGCAACCTCCACCTCCCGGGTTCAAGTGATTCTCCTGCCTCAGCCTCCCCAGTAGCTGGGATTACAGGCGCCTGCCTCTGTGTCCGGCAAATTTTTGTATTTTTAGTAGAGATGGGGTTTTGCCATGTTGGCCAGGGTGGTCTCAAACTCCTGACCTCATGATCTGCCCGCCTCAGCCTCCCAAAGTGCTGGGATTACAGACTCACGTGAGCCACCGCGCCCGGCCTTTTTTTTTTAAGTAGAGACTGGGTTTCACCATGTTGTCCAGGCTGATCACGAACTTCTGACCTCAAGTGATCCACCAGCCTCGGCCTCCCAAAGTGCTGGGATTACAGGCGTGAGGCACCATCCCAGCCCAATGTGATGTTGTGATGTGTTTAATCACTGTGGAATGATTAAATCAAGCTAATTAACATATCCATGACCTTACATACTTACTGTTTTTTGTAGTGAGAGCATTTAAAATTTACTCTTGGCTGGGTGCAGTGGCTCACACCTATAATCCCTAAATTAATAATAATGTATAGTTCAGAATTGCTAAGAGTACTTTTTTTTTTTTTTTTTTGAGACAGGTTCTCACTCTGTCACCCAGGCTGGAGTACAGTGGCATGATCTCAGCTCACTGCAGCCTCGACCTCCTGGGCTAAAGCAATTCCCCAACCTCAACTTCCTGAGTAGTTGGAATTATAGGCGCACACTACCATGCCCGACTAATTTTTAAATTTTTGTAGAGATGGGTTTTCGCCATGTTGCCCAGGCTGGTCTTGAACTCCTGAACTCAAGTGATCCACCCACCTTGGCCTCCCAAAGTGTTGGGATTATAGGTGTGCACCACCATAGCCTGGTGTCATTTTTCTTCAACCTAAAAGACATCCTTTAACATTTCTTACAGTGTGGATCTGCTGATGATGAATTCTTCAGCTTTTGTCTGACTGAAAACATCTTTACTTAACCTTTGTTTTTGAAAGATACTTTTACCAGGTATATAATTCTAAATTGACATTGCTTTAAAGATACTGATTAGCTTTTTTCTGACTTGCTTCTTTCTAATGAAAAATCTGATGTCATCATTATCTTTGTACTTATGTATGTACACGTTCTTTTCCTCTGGCTACTTTTAAGATTTAAGATTAGTTGGCCGGACACGGTGGCTCACGCGTGGAATCCCAGCACTTTGGGAGGCCAAGGCGGGTGGATCACCTAAGGTCAGGAGTTCGAGACCAGCCTGGCCAACATGGCGAAACTCCATCTCTTCTCAAAATAACAGAAATTAGCTGGGTGTGGTGGCAGGTGCCTGTAACCCCAGCTACTCGGGAGGCTGAGACAGGAGAATCGCTTGAACCCAGGAGACGGAGGTTGCAGTGAGCCGAGATCACGCCATTGCACTCCAGCCTGGGCAACAAGAGCGAAACTCCATCTCAAAAAAAGAAAAAAAAGATTTAAGATTAGTAACAATTTTGAATATTTGATTATATGTGTCTTGATGTAATTAACTTCATGTTTCCTATATTTGGGATTTATTGAGCTTCTCAGATATATAGGTCTATAGTTTTCATCAAGTTTGGAAAGTTTTTAGCCATTATTTCTTTTTAAAATATTTTTGTACAGATGGGATTTTGCTGTATTGTCCAGGCTGGTCTCAAACTCCTGGCCTCAAGTGATTCTCTCACCTTGCCCTCCCAAAGTGCTGGGCTTACAGGAGTAAGCCACTGTGACCTGCCCATTTCCCTAAAATAAATTTTGCAGCCCTTTTCCCCATATTGGAGTCCTTTGGAGACGCTAATTTGCACATGTTAAGCTGCTTGACATTGTCCCACATGTTACTGATGCTCTTTAATGTTTTTGTTCTTTTGTATTCTGTGTGTTTCAGTTTGGATAGTTTCCCTTGCTATGCCTTCAGTTCAATATTTTTTTTCATCTGCAATATCTAATCTGCTACAATGCCATCTGGTAGATTTTTTCATCTTAGACATTGTCATTTTCATCTCTACAAGTTCAATTTAGGTGTTTTTTGTATCTTCCGTGTTACTACTTTTTGAATATATGAAATAAAATTTTAATAACTCTTTTAATATCCTAATCGGCTAGTTTTATTTAGTATCTGTGTCAGTTCAGGGTCAATTTCAAGTGATTATTCTCCTCATTATGAATTATGTTTTCCTGATACTTGGCATGCTTAGGTTTTAATTTACTTTTTAAAAAATTTATTATGTTTTAAATTGTGGTAAACAACGTAAAATTTACCATCTTAACCATTTTTAAGTGTATTGTTCAGTGGTATTAAATACTTTTATAATGTTGTAGAACCATCACTACCACTCATCTCTGTAACTGTTTTCATCTTGTAAAACTGAACGTCTGTAACCATTAAACAATACTATTCCATTCCCCCATTCTGCAGGCCCTGGTAACCACCATTCTATTTTCTGTCTCTATGATTTTAACTCCTTAACTACTTCATGTAAGTGGAATCATACAGGTGATCCGCTTGCCTCTGCCTCCCAAAGTGCTGGATTACAGGTGTGAGCCACCGCGCCCGGCCACAAATATCTCTTTTAAGACTCTACTTTGAATTTTATGGGGTATAGTTCCAGAAATAGAATTACTGTATCATGATAATTCTATTTTTAAATTTTGAGAAACTACCATACTGTTTACCACAACAGCTCTACTGTTTTACATTCCCACCAACAGTGTCCAAGGGTTCCGATTTCTCCACATTCTCACCGCTTGTTATTTTCCTTTTTTTTTAATAGTAGCCATTCTAATGGGTCTGAGACAGTATCTTGTAGTTTTTGTTTGCATTTCTCTGATGATAAGTGGTGTTGAGTATATTTGTATGGGTTTATTGGCCATTTGTATGTCTTCTTCGGAGAAATATCTATTCAATTCCTTTGCCCATTTTTAAATTGGGTTGTTTGTGTTTTTGTTGTTGTATTTTAGGAGTTCTCTATATATTCTGGATATTAATCCCTTATCAGATATATGTCTTGCAAATGTTTTCTCCCATTCTGCTTGGTAGTTTTTGATTGAATGCCAGACATTGTGAATTTTTACCTTCTTGGTTGCTGAATATTTTTGTTTTTCTATGAATATTCTTGAACTTTGTTCTGGGATGCAGTTAACTTACTTTTAAACATTTTGATCACTTTGATCACTTGCTTTTTATGATTTATTAGGAGGTTCCAGAGCAGTGGTCAGGCTATGGCTAATTATTCTCTGCTACTGAAACAAGACCTTCCTGAGGACTCTACCCAGTGCCTTGTGAATGAAAGGTTTTTCCATACTGGGTGATGAGAATATGTGAGAACATGCACTATTCCTGGCCCTCTGTGAGCACTATGCACTTTTCTCTAACTCTTTAGATGGTTATTTTCCTGCCCTCAGCTTCCTTGTGTTCATTTTATTATCATTACTCTGCTGAATAGAGTGGGACTCTACAGATGGCTGGACTCACTTTATGTGCAAATTCCCTTCTCCCTGGTGTTCTGTCCTGTGAGTTACCTTCATCTCTGTGGACTGTTCACCTCATCTCCTACTCCATTCAGTCTACTGAGCTCTGCTTCAGGTCTGTATCCCTGTGCTACAGCCTGGAAACTTTAAAGGCAATAGCTCACTTTGTTTTCCATCCAGTAAAGGACACTGAGAGTCACTGTCCTTTATTGCTTGTGACCAGTATCTTGAGAACTGTTTTTCCATATTTATTTGGATTTTTTAGTTGTTTCAGGCAGATGTGTAAATCTGTTTTTACTCCACCTTGGCCAGAAGCAGGAGTGCTCATCATTCCTCAATTTAAAAACAAGAAATTGGCTGGGCAGGGTGGCTCACACCTGTAATCCCAACACTTTAGGAGGCCAAGGCGGGCGGATCACCTGAGGTCAGGAGTTCAAGACCAGCCTGGCCAACATGGCGAAACCCTGTATCTACTAAAAATATAAAAATTAGCTGGCCATGGTGGTGGCTGCCTGTAATCCCAACTACTCAGAGGCTGAGGCAGGAGAATCACTTGAATCAAGGAGGCGGAAGTTGCAGTGAGCTGAGATCCTGCCATTGCACTCCAGCCTGAGCGACCGAGCAAGGCTCCGTCTCAAAAAAAAAAAAAAAAAAAGAGAAATTTATCTTTCATATTTACTCACATTTCTCATTCTATTCTTTTCTTACATTTATTATCCTATAGGTGTGCTAGCAATGACTTCTCACTCACGTGTTGTTTACCTAACAAAGTTTTTTATTTTGCTTTGATTTTTTGAATGATAAATTTTTGGTTGGCTATTGAAGTCTAAGTGGACAATTTTTTTCTGTTGAATCTTTGGGTTTATAATTTTTATCACATTTTGCAAAAATTTGGCCATTATTTCTGCAAATACCTTTTTTCATACCCTCTCTAATCTCTGCTTCTTCTATGACTTCAGTTATAAGCATGTTAGACTTCTCGACATTATCCCACAGGTCCCAGAACTCCACTATTGGCTTTTTTCCCCAGTCTGATTTTTTCTTCTGTGCTTTGATTTGGATGGTTTCTATTTCTTTTTGTGTGTGTGAATAGAGACAGGGTCTCCCTATGTTGCCCAGGTTGGTTTTGAACTCCTGGCCTGAAGTGATCCTCCCACCTCAACCTCCTGTGCTGGGATTACAGGTGTAAATCAGCATGCCCTGCCATGGATGCTTTTTATTTCTCTGTTGTTTAGTCCACTGATTGTTTTTCCGGAAGCATCTCATCTGCTGTTAATCTCATCCAATATATTTTGCTTTTCAGATACTTAGTTTTGTTTTTTTTTTAATTTCTATAATTTACATTTAGGTTGGCCAGGCGCGGTGGCGCATGCCTGTAATCCCAGCACTTTGGGAGGCCAAGGCGGGCGGATCACGAGGTCAGGAAATTGAGACCATCCTGGCTAACATGGTGAAACCCCGTCTCTACTAAAAATACAAAAAAATTAGCCAGGCATGGTAGCGGTTGCCTGTAGCCCCAGGTACCCGGGAGGCTGAGGCGGGAGAATGGTGTGAACCTGGGAGGCGGAGCTTGCAGTGAGCTGAGATCGCGCCACTGCACTCCAGCCTGGGCGAGAGCGAGACTCCATCTAAAAAAAAAAAAATTTACATTTAGGTCTTTCTTATGTCTTCATTTTCTCCCTTCATGTTTATGTCTGAATTATATTTATAATATTTATAATAGCTGCTTTAAGTCCTTGTCTGCTAATTCTATTATCTCTGTTATTTTTTAGTCCATTTCTTTGGATTGATTTTTCTCCTGGTTATGAATCATATTTTTCTGCCCCTTTGTATGCCTGGTAATTTTTTTATTGGATGCCGGTCCTTGTGAAATGTAACTTGGTGATTGCTAGGTTTTATTATTTTTCTCTAAAGAGTCTTATACTTTGTTCTTGCATGCAGTTACTTGCAGATCAAGTTGCTCTTCTTGAAGCTTGTTTATGTGTTATTTTATTTTATTTTATTTTTATTATTATTTCTTTGTGAGACGGAGTCTCGCTCTGTTGCCCAGGCTGGAGTGCAGTGATACGATTTCCACTCACTGCAGCCTCCACCTCCCAGGTTCAAGCAATTCTCCTGCCTCAGCCTCCCGAGTAGCTGGGATTACAGGCACATGACACCACGCCCAGCTAATTTTTCTATTTTTTTAGTAGAGATGGGGTTTCTCCATGTTGGCCAGGCTGGTCTCGAACTCCTGACCTCAGGTGATCTGCCTGCCTCAGCCTCCCAAAGTGATGGGATTACAGGCATGAACCACCATGCTTGGCTGTTTTGGGTTTGTTTGTTTGTTTGTTTGTTTGTTTGTTTTGAGATGGCATCTCACTCTGTCTCCCAGGCTGGAGTGCAGTGGTGGGATCTCAGCTCACTGTAACCTCTGCCTCCCGGGTTTAGGTGACTCTCGTGCCTCAGCCTCCCAAGTAGCTGAGATTACAGGCATGCACCACCACACCTGGCTAATTTTTGTGTATTTAGTAGAGACGGGCTTTCTCCATGTTGGCCAGGCTTGTCTTAAACTCCCAACCTCTCAGGTATGAGCCACCACACCCAGCCCTATTTATTTGTTTTGTTAGAGTGGCGTCTTATCAGACTTTACCCTACGGTTCATATATAATTTAGCCCTACTACTATCAAATACTTTGCTTATTATAAGGTCTCTTGAGTCTGGCTAGTGGAAATGTGAACTACTCCTATCCCTGTGTGACTTTAGGATTTATTCATATACTACTTTCTGGTAGTTCTTTCCCTAGCCTCCTGGAGTTTCACCCTTGTCATTACTGAGCCAGAGATTTGGGGTACAGGTCATGTGTGCTCTGTCTCTGAGTGTGGAGCTTTGTCCTTTCCAGCACTCTGTTCTACAGAGTTTTGCTGCTTGACCACCCTAAACTATGATCTCTGTTTCAACAAAACTGCTACTTTGTCTTTGGCTTACTCTTACCTTCATTGCAGTCTGTAAACTGCCCTCATTTGAATACTTTCTCTCAGGGAAATACTTTTCTTTCACCTTCCTGAATTGCCTGTTATCCAGGGCCTAAAAACAGTTATCTTAACCATTTACTATACATATTACATTAATTTTTATATTTTCTTTTTTTTTTCCAGAACAATATAGCTGAAGTACAAGAATTACATTCTGAATTAATGTGGAAAGATTTTATAGACCACATCAGTAGTCTCCTACACAGTGTGGAAGTGGAAGTCAGTTACTTTGCAGCTGGAATTATTGCCCATTTAATATCCAGAGGTGAACAAGCTTGGACATTGAGTCGTAGCCAGAGGAATTCTCTGCTGGATGATTTGGTAGGGTCATTCCATACCAACAAAAGACATTCATAGTGGTTAAACTATCAAAGCCTCATAATGTAGTAAATAATGCAGTGCTAAATAAATATTGTAATCCTTTCTTGTGTGTCTTTTGTCTTCCAGCATTCAGCTATTTTGAAATGGCCAACTCCAGAGTGTGAGATGGTAGCATACAGGTAATTAGTATCATAATTAACAGTAAACCAGCAACCTAGTCTAGAGATCATTCCTAAGAGTCATTCCTACTAGATGCATAATTTTTCCCTCAGGCACCTCAATATTGGTTATTTATTTATTTATTTTGAGACAGAGTTTCACTCCGTCGCCATGGCTGGAGTGCAGTGCATGATCTTGGCTCACTGCAACCTCCACCTCCCAGGTTGAAGCAATTCCCCTGCCTCAGCCTCCCGAGTAGCTGGGATTATAGGCGCCCACGACCACGCCCCGCTAATTTTTGTATTTTTAGTAGAGACGAGGTTTCACCATGTTGGCCAGGCTGGTCTTGAACTCCTGACCTCAGGTGATCTGCCTGCCTGGGCCCCCCTAAGTGCTGGGATTACAGGCGTGAGCCACCACACCCAGCCAAAAGTATTGGCTTTAAAAGAAGCAAAGTATTTTGACTTTTTTCTACCACCTATCACTCTTCATGTTTCCTTCATTTCACATTTGTTGAAGACAAGTGCTAGGAATTTGTTCTATGCTCTTGAAATACAAAAATGAACAAAGACATGGTGTCTGCACACAAGAATTTTATATCCTTGTGAGGGAGAGTGAATGTGGATCAGATAAAATACCGTTATGCCAAATGTCCATAGAATGTTATGAAATTAAAGGTGAAGCCCAGTGGGGTAGCACATACCTGTAGTCCTGGGAGGATCACTTGAGCCCAGGAGTTTGAGGCTGCAGTGAGTTATGATTGCATCACTGCATTCCAGCCTGAGTGACAGAGCAAGACTCCAAATGTAAATACACACACACACACACACACACACACACCTTTCAGAGGAAGTGAGTTGTGACCTGAGTGTTGAAAGATAAGGAGAGGCAGGAGATTTTTAGGAAGAAAAAGCATCGTATTAATGTAGGAAGGTCTAAAATAAAATGACACATTGAAGGAATTAGAAGTAGCACCAGATTTGGGCCAGGCATTGTGGCTCATGCCTATAATCCCAGCACTTTGGGAGGCTGAGGTGGGTGGATCACTTCAATCCAGGAGTTCGAGACCAGCTTGGCCAACATGTTGAAACCCCTGTCTCTACTGAAAGAACAAAGTTAGTGGGGCATGGTGGTGCACACCTGTAATTCCAGCTACTTGGGAGGCTGAGGCATGAGAATCGCTTGAACTTGGGAGGTGGAGGTTGCAGTGAGCTGAGATGGCGCCACTGCACTGCAGCCTGGGTGACAGAATGAGACTCTCAAAAAAGGAATAACACTAGATTTGGTTGGGGAAACAGTTTGTAATAATTTATTAAAGGGCATACTGGGCCTGGCATGGTGGCTCACACCTATAATCCCAACACTTTGAGAGACTGAGGTGGTAGTATCACTTGAGTTCAGGAGTTGCAGACTAGCCTAGGCATCATAGTGAGACCTCATCTCTACTAAAAAATAAAAAAACCTGGGCATGATGGCATACACCTGTAGTCCCACCACTTCGGAAGGCCAAGGCAGGTAGATCACTTGAGCTCAGCCTGAGCAACATAGTGAGACCCCGTCTCTACAAAAAATAAAAAATTAGCCAGTTGTGGTGGCACATCCCTGTAGTCCAAGCTGCTTGGGAGGCTAAGGTGGGAGAATCGCTTGAGCCTGGAAGGTTGAGGCTGCAATGAGTTGAGATCGCCTTACTGCACTCCAGCCTGAGCAACAGAGTGAGACCCTGTCTCAAATAAATAAATAAATGTAAAAATAAATAAATAGGCCGGGCATGGTGGCTCATGCCTGTAATCCCAGCACTTTGGGAGGCCGAGGCGGGCAGATCACGAGGTCAGGAGATCGAGACTATCCTGGCTAACGTGGTGAAACCCCGTCTCTACTAAAAATACAAAAAAATTAGCCGGGCGTGGTGGCAGGCGCCTGTAGTCCCAGCTACTTGGGAGGCTGAGGCAGGAGAATGCCGTGAACCCAGGAGGCGGAGGTTGCAGTGAGCTGAGATCGCGCCACTGCACTCCAGCCTGGGCGACAGAGCGAGACTCCGTATCAAAATAAATAAATAAATAAATAACAAAAATTAAGAAGTGCATACTGGATGCCTAACTCTGTTTGTAATTAGATAACTTGATAATTAAATTACTAATTACCTGAAGTATTTAATTTTTATTCAACTTATTTTTTTTGTTTGGTTCATAAATGCTGATGTTGCCAACATTTTTTTTATTTCTCCAACTTATGTTCCACCTATTTTTATTCAGACCAGTAGAAAATAGAAGGGATAATTATACATCTTTTTCATAGTGTTCTACTAGTTAGTTATCACCTAATTTCTCTATTTCTTAGTTTCCAAACCAAGATCTACTTATCTTCAAATGTGTATCTTTAAGACTAAAAAGTGCTTTTGGAAAAATTTTTTCTCTTTCACTACCATGTTCTAATCACCTTCCATCTTCTGTACTGAGTCATGTCTGAATGCAGTCTTCTCTGAAATGGTTAAGACAAAGAAATGATATTCTATAGCTCATTTATATTAGTCTAAATATAATAGGATAAAATTTTGAAAATGAAAAGTTTAGGAATCACTGCTTTAGGAAATTACGCTAAATATGGGATGTAACTTTGATTCTTTTCTTTTGAACCTTTAGGTCCTTTAATCCATTTTTCCCATTACTTGGCTGTTTCACAACACCAGGAGTTCAGCTATGGGCAGTTTGGGCCATGCAACATGTCTGCAGCAAGAATCGTATGTACCAAAAAAAAAGAACTGTGTTTTTTTTCTTTAAGTGAAATTCTCATTTCCCAGGAAAGATATTTCTAAATTGTGTATTAAAGTGATTTTTAAGAACACTGACTTAAAATGTAAGGCCATCTTAGGTTATAAACTTAAGGTATTCTTTTTTTTTTTTTTTTTTTTTTTTTGAGACGAAGTCTCGCTCTTGTTCCCCAGGCTGGAGTACAGTGGCGCGATCTCGGCTCACTGGAACCTCCGCCTCCTGGGTTCAAGCGATTCTCCTGCCTCAGCCTCCCGAGTAGCTGAGATATCAGGCACCTGCCACCATGCCCGGCTAATTTTTGTATTATTATTATTTTTTTTTAGTAGAGACGGGGTTTCACCATGTTGGCCAGGCTGGTCTCAAACTCCTGACCTCAGGTGATCCGCCCGCCTAAGCCTCCCAAAGTGCTGGGATTACAGGCATAAGCCACTGTGCCCGGCCAACTTAAGGTATTCTTTCAGAATGAGCATGGTGTAACTAGACACTGAATAATAGTGGTGAATGAGACACTGTTCTCACCTCAAGGAATTTAAAGATTAGGAGACTACAGTGAGTCCATTTGTTGAGTAAAAGGTCTTAAGTAGATCCACTGTTTATGGTACATTCCGGTGCCCAATTCTCATTCACCCAAAATTCTGTTGTTCAAGATGTCGCTGCCAGCACCCATGGTTTCTGAAGAAGCAAAGTGTTTGAATCAGGTTCTATATTATTCTTTGAAAGCTACGATGTAACTCTTATTTATTTATTTAGAGACAAGGTCTGTCTCTATCACTGGAGCTGGAGTGCAGTGGCATAGTAACAGCTCACTGCAACCTTGACGTCCAGGCTCAGATGATCCTCCTGCCTCAGCTTGTAGCTAGGACTACAAGTGCACGTCACCATACCTGGCTTTTTTTTGTATTTTTTGTAGAGATGGGGTTTCATCATGTTGGCCAGGCTGGTGTCAAACTCCTAGGCTCGAACGATCTGCCTGCCTCTTCCTCCCAAAGTGCTGGCATTACAGGCGTCAGCCATCAAGCGTGGCCTAATTATTTATTAATATAAACTCATTCCACAAATGATTTGACACAAGAAATACACAGAACCACTTTAATAGTAAAGTGTGTATATATATGTGTATATATATATATATATATATATATATATATATATATATTTTTTTTTTTTTTTTTTTTTTTTTTTTTTTTTTTTTTTTGAGATGGAGTCTCACTTTGTCACCCAGGCTGGAGTGCAGTGGTGCGATCTCGGCTCACCACACCCTCCACCTCCCAGGTTCAAGCGATTCTCTTGCCTCAACCTCCAGAGTAGCTGGGACTATAGGCCTGCACCACCACACCTGGCTAATTTTCGTATTTTTAGTAGAGACAGGGTTTCACCATTTTGGCTGGGCTGATCTTGAACCCCTGACCTCAGGTGATCCACCGACCTCGGCCTCCCAAAGTGCTGGGCTTACAGGTGTGAGCCACTGTGCCTGGCCTACTTTTAGTTTTAATTAGAAGTAAGGAAAAATAATTTTTCAAAAATTATAGGGGCCGGGCATAATGGCTCATCCCTATAATCCCAGCATTTTCTGAAGTTGAGGTGAGTGGATCGCTTGAGCCCGGGAGTTTGAGACCAGCCTGGGCAACATGGCGAAACCTAGTTTCTATAAAAGATGTAAAAGAAATTAGCCAGGTGTTGTGGTGTGCTCCTGTAGTCCCAGCTACTTGGGAGGCTGAGGTGGCAGCATCATCTGAGCCCAGAAAGCAAGGCTGCAGTGAGCTGTGATGGCACCATGCACTCTGGCCTGGGTGACAGAGTGAGACTCTGTCTCAAAAAGAAAAAAAAAAATTCTAGGATAGAGGGAAAATAGTCAAATGTAGACTTGTAGGCCATGCATAGGGATTTTTGTGGCTCTGCTGCAAGTAAAAAGCGACATGGTTCTCCATATAAGAGGGAAACATTCCATATCCTTGTCAGGGGAGATGGGGAGGGGAGAGAATTTTTTATGAGAAGTTAACTATGAATTAAATTTCTTCTATTGGACCTTAATAGGGGACATACTATAAAGGGCCTTATATAGGATATGTGAGAGTTGTTTTTACTAATATCCTTATAGCAGAAGTAGTAACATTTAGTGAGATTTTCGCTTGGGTTTTTTTTTTTTTTTTGGAGACGGAGTCTCACTCTGTTGCCCAGGCTGGAGTGCAGTGACACGATCTCAGCTCACCACAACCTACACCTCCCAGATTCAAGCATTTCTCCTACCTCAGCCTCCCGAGTAACTGGGACTACAGGAACACGCCACCATGCCCAGCTAATTTTTGTATTTTTAGTAGAGGCTGGGTTTCACAATTTTGGCCAGACTGGTCTCGAACTCACCCGCCTTGGCCTCTCAAAGTGCTGGGATTACAGGCATGAGCCACCGCACCCAGCTCCTTCTCTTGTATTGTTTGATGAAAACTCACTGCATACCACAAAAAGGCAATGCAGTAAAAGCTCTTCTGTGTCAGATAAAGAAGAATAATTCAATGAATGGGATGTGACCGAGAAAACTGCCTTGTACCCACCTGAACTCCCACCTGGAGGCTTATCCGGTCCTTCCTACTACATTACCCAGAAGCAGAGTTGTTCACTCATAAATCGAAAACTGCCTCTTTAGCTACATTAAACTGTCTCTGCCCTAAAGTCGTTTTCTTTTTACTGTACCCACAGGTTCTGAGGACTCCCAAATTTCTTAACAGTTGATCCCATCATATTCCCAGTCTCTAATCTATAGGTTCCTTTCCTCATAACTCAAGGAATGGACCTTTCACAGCTCAGTAGGAGAAAATAAAACATAATAAGTAAATAATAGTGCATTTTTGGCTGGGCATGGTGGCTCACGCCTGTATTCCCAGCACTTTCGGAGGCCAAGGCGGGTGGATCACGAAGTCAGGAGATCGAGACCATCCTGGCTAACATGGTGAAACCCCATCTCTACTAAAAATACAAAAAATTAGCTGTGGGTTGTGGCACACATCTGTACTCTCAGCTACTAGGGAGGCTGAGGCAGGAAAATCACTTGAACTGGGAGGTGGAGGTTACAGTGAGCCGAGATCGCACCACTGCACTTCAGCCTGGGCGACAGAGTGAGACTCTGTCTGAAAAAAAAATAATAATAATAATAATAATAGTGCATTTTCATATGAGTATTTATTTTTGTCACTACTTTTAGGTATTAGAGTTATTTAGGTTTTACTCTATGGAATGACAGCCCTGAATAATTTATTTTATTTTATTTTATTTTTTTTTTGAGACGGAGTCTTGCTGTCGTCCAGGCTAGAGTGCAGTGGCATGATCTCGGCTCACTGCAAGCTCCGCCTCCCACTTCACGCCATTCTCCTGCCTCAGCCTTCCAAGTAGCTGGGACTATAGGCGCCTGCCACCACGCCTGGCTAATTTTTTTGTATTTTTAGTAGAGACGGGGTTTCACCACGTTAGCCAGGATGGTCTCGATCTCCTGACCTCGTTATCTGCTCGCCTCGGCCTCCCAAACTGCTGGGATTACAGGTGTGAGCCACCACGCCCAGCCCCTGAATAATTTATTCTAAAATGCACTGTAATTTGGGGAATATTAGAATATTTTGTCTCCAACTCAGATAGTTTAGGTTCCTACCTTGTGGGCTTATTTTGTTTATATTTAAATGGAATTCACTTCTATTTGTATTAAAATGTTTTAATGTGGCTGGGTGTGGTGGCTCACACCTGTAACCCCAGCACTTTGGGAGGCTGAGGCAGGCAGATCACTTAAGGTCAGGAGTTTGAGACTGGACTGGCCAGCGTGGTAAAACCCCACCTCTACCAAAAATACAAAAATTTAGCCAGGTGTGGTGGCTGGTGCCTATAGTCCCAGCTACCCAGGAGACTGAGGAAGGAGAATTGCTTGAACCCGGGAGGCAGAGGTTGCAGTGAGCCAAAATTGTGCCATTGGACTCCAGCCTGGGCAACACAGCAAGCTGCAGTGAGCCATGATCACACCACTGGGCATGAGCCATGATCACCCCAGCCTGGGCAACAGAATGAGACTGTCTTTAAAAAAAAAAAAAAAAAAAAAAAGGCTAATAAAATATTTCAAAAATTTAAAAATTGTATGTGCAGTATGAGTGCCATTAAGTTTTTAAAAAGCATAGTAAATGCAGCCTGGCATTATGGCTCATGCCTGTAATTCTAGTACTTTGGGAGGCTGAGGCGGGAGGATTGCTTGAGGGCAGGAGTTTGAGACCAGCCTAGGCAACATGGTAAAACCCCATCTCTACTAAAAATAAAAAAATTAGCCAGGGGTGGTGGCATGTGCCTGTATTTCCAGGCTGAGGCACAAGAATCGCTTGAACCCAGGAGGCGGAGGCTGCAGTGAGTCGAGATTGCGCCACTGTACTCTGGCCTGGGCAACAGGGCAAGACTCTGTCTAAAAAAAAAAAAAAAGCATAGGAAATGCATAAAAATATAACAACACTTACCTGTGATTTTGGGTCAAAGATAAGGTAGTTATGATTGTTTTTATTTTTTTAATACAGGTTGTACATGTCTTGAGGTTAGAAAAATCAAGCTAGCTATTTATTGATTGAATGTGTAGGCCTTGCACTGTAGACGTAACATCAGTATAGAGGTTATTTATCAAGCTGTAGCATGTTAGTGATCAATAACAAAACAGCTAAAAAAAAATGGCTCCTAGAAGTCATTTTTTTGTGGAATAATTTTCAAGTGTTTTAAGAAAAGCTATTTCTCCTGTTTTGTGTGTGTTTTTTTTTCTTTTTCAGCTTCAAGGTATTGCAGCATGCTGATTGAAGAAGGAGGATTGCAGCATTTATACAACATCAAAGATCATGAACATACTGATCCCCATGTCCAACAGATTGCTGTGGCCATTCTGGATAGCTTAGAAAAACACATTGTGCGCCATGGGAGGCCACCTCCCTGTAAAAAACAGCCCCAAGCCAGACTAAATTGATAGCCATAAGTATTGGATAGTTGAATCACAGGAATCCTTTTTGTGATTGGTCCATTTGGAATATCTTACCCTCCCTGATGTTTTGGGGGTTTCTATGACAAGAGTCATAAAATCAGTTTGGGATTGATAATGTGTAGTACTGCCCATGTGAACAGTCTCTAATTTGTCTTGTGATTTTAAACTTATGAGTCAAGAAGGGTCTCTTCCTTTATCATTGCCTTTTAGGAAATTTTCCACATCTTTCAGTGTTTGAACTTACTTGTGCTTGAGATTCTACAGTTTTATGGTAAAGTTTGCACGAACCCTTAGGCCAGACTTTTCTGATCTCAGAGTCCCTTCCAATCAATTTGCAGCTTCACATAAGCTGTTGACCTGATTTCTGACACTGCTTCAGTTGTAAATTTTATACTGCTTCTGTATAAAATGCCTTTCTTCTCTATCTGTGTATATTTTATAAGATGTCCTTCTTAGTGTGAAAGAAGGGAAATGTGGATCATCTTGTGGAAGCTAATCACTGGCAGGAGCCTGGATGGCTGGCGGAAAGATATATGAGAAAGAAAAATTATGAAGGTAGAACAGAGTGTAGGAACTGGGAATTGGTTTCATGGTATAGGTTTTAAAATGAGACAGGCTACCCTTCGGGAGTCCACCTCTCTTGAGGCGGTGAGCAGAAGCTTGTCCTCCATATTTATACCTAGAAGTGTGGACTGCTGGTTCCTGCACAGACTGCCGGTTATTCACTAGGAATATTTCCCCAAGCACCACAGTATAAAATACTACAGCACTCTGTGTTAAAGACTAACTGTCTACATCTCCATATGTTGTAGTGTTGTGAAAATGTGATTTTAAAAAATTATCGCCAGTTAAAACTGGCTATTCTTTTCCTCTATTTCAAAGTCATTTTTGTTCAGTGGAATAGAGACAGCAACATGGTGTTAACCTCTCAATTAAAATACAATTGACACCAGTAAATTTTGCCATAAAAAGTTAAAATCTCTTGTTCAAAATATGTGTATCTTCTTAATGTGTTCATGTTAGAGAAAGTGTCCCCATCTCACTGCCAAAAATGAAAGAAAATAATTAAACTCTTTAAATGATTAAATGTAATGATTCTACTCGCAGTGCATAACAGCACATATTTTTGACAGATTATTTTTTAGGCAATTACCTTTCCTTAAGGTATCTGATACAGTATAGTAAAGAATCACTTATATCAGTAATAGCACTTGAGAGATAGCAAGTCACCAAGAAACTTAATTTTCATTTAAAATTTTATTTTGTGAATAAGGTCAATCTACAATCCCAGATAACTACATTTTTTTTCATAGATGGCCAGTGTTTTCAACAGAGATTTAAAATGGAATATTAAAATTATAGTGATTATTCAGAAGCATTTTAATTTAGAAAGGAGCTGGTTTGTTAGTTCACTGATGACATTTTTTGACAAACATTTTATACCATTATCACAATAATCAGACTTGAATTTTTTTTGGAGTTCCTTCATGTGAATGAAAACTGAGTTAAAAGAAAGTAGGCATTTAGGTCTGGATGCAGTGGCTCATGCTTGTAATCCCAGCACTTTGGGAAGCTGAAGCAGGAGGATTGCTTGAGCCCAGAAGTTCAAGACTAGCCTGGGCAACATAGTGAGACTCGGTCTCTACCAAAAAAAAAAATTTTTTTTTTTTAAATTAGCTGGGTGTGGTGGCACCTGGGAAACAGAGCGAGACGCTGACTCAAATAAATATCTAAATAGATATTTAGAATCACTGAAAACCATATTAAATGCTGGGTTAATGCTGACTTAATTGGCTTAAGGAATTTTTATAGGCGTAAGATAAATTTTCACAGACTAAGTTTATTTCAGACAAAATAGAGAATTCTTTTAAAAGTTTTTTTTTTTTTTTTCCTTTTTCGAATGTTAATGTCTAAGACAAAGTTCAGAAAACGAGATGGCCTGTGGTAGTTTGGAAATTGCTAGATATGTTGACCGTTTCCAGGTCTTTTATCTAGTGTAGTTAAGGGAAAGCCTATTTAAGAAGTTTGGCTTCAAGTTTCTGTTTTATAAGACAAAAGTGCATATTTCTTTACAGGCTAATGCTAGGTTTTTGTCTTTACAAATTATTTTCAGAAATGGCTAAAAGTGTACAGAAAACAGTAAATCCCTTCTTTACTCAGAATAACTTCTTAATAGTTGAAGCATCCAAAATATGTAAAAGCAAGGGTGGGCGTAGTGGCTCTTGCCTGTAATCCCAGCATTCTGGGAGGCCGAGGCGGGCAGATCACTTGAGATCAGGAGTTCGAGACCACCCTGGCCAACGTGGTGAAACCCCGTCTCTACTAAAAATACAAAAACTAGCTGGGCATGGTGGCTTTTTTGCACGCCTATAGTCCCAGCTACTCGGGAGGCTGAGGCACGAGAATCACTTGAACCCAGGAAGTGGAGGTTGCAGTGAGCTAAGATCGTGCCACTGCACTCCAGCCTGGACAACGGAGTGAGACTCTGGGGAAAAAAAAAATTAAACTTCCTACTTTTTTTCTTTTTGTAGAGACAGAGTTTCACTCTGTCGCCCAAGCTGGAGTGCAGTGGCACAATCATACCTCACTGCAGCCTCTTGGGCTTATGTGATCTTACCCCCTCAGCCTCTGGAGTAGCTGGAACTACAGGCTAAATTTCCTACTTTGTAAACATCAGTAGTGGCCAGATACTTCTGAGTCTTAAAAGCATAATAGGCCGGGCGCGGTGGCTCACGCCTGTAATCCCAGCACTTTGGGAGGCCGAGGTGGGTGGATCACAAGGTCAGGAGTTCAAGACCAGCCTGGCCCAAATGGTGAAACCCTGTCTCTACTAAATATACAAAAATTAGCTGGGTGTGGTGGCGGGCACCTGTAATCCCAGCTACTCAGGAGGCTGAGGCAGGAGAATCGCTTGAACCTGGGAGGTGGAGGTTGTGGTGAGCCAATATCATGCCACTGCACTCCAGCCTGGGTGACAGAGTAAGACTCCGTCTCAAAAAAAAAAAAAGCATAATAATTTATTACATCCCAAATATATAAAAATTTGAGTGCCTTTGCAGTTGGGATGGTTCCTAAAATTGCGTATAGAATTAAGGCACAGAATTGTGTGTAAGGTCCTGAATCTGGCTAAAATACAGTGGATGTATGTATTGGAATTATGAGGCATAAGTAGCCAGTATCTATAGTTAGAATCTACAAGGCCTCCTTTTTGCACCTGTAGACTAGAATATAACTGTTATTGGTGCCTTTGAGTGTTATCTCTCAGTGGCTAGAGGTGCTGTTTCAAGCACAATTTAGACTAGGGTTGAACCACTCATTGTTCAAATCATTGGTGGGCTCCAATGTAAAATATCACTACATCAGTCCACAAGCAACATTAAGGAAATCTAAAGGAAATGGAATTTGACTTTTTAGAGTATAATGATGTTCTAGGGCATAATGAGGAAAATTTTTAAAAAATAGATTATAATGATACATATTGGTATCATTAAGACAACAGATTTGAGCAAATACAATTAAGGTGTCTTATTTTTTGCATCAAGTAATTATTGCTGTGGTCTTTCTACTCCACAAAATAATTTTTTCTTTTTGCAGTTGAAAATTAACTGCATTATTAACTAATTAATAAAATAAATCAAGTGGTATAAGGGATTAGTTTACCCTCAAGCCGATGACTCCATGGCTACTGATATTAGTTAGTTTAGGATTTTTAAAAAGCATATCAGACCCCCAGTTTCAGGAATTGAGTATAAATATTGCTTCTTGTCACCCTGGGACAGTAATGCCTTATAGTGGCACTAGTCACCTTAAGTAGATTACACATGGTTGAGGTGAATAAAGCTGCATGGGAATTTGCTTTCGTGATATATTTCATTTGCAAACTTCTACATAATCAAGTTTTATGTTTAAAACCATCGGTTCTATATATCTAGCTTTAGGAAGTTGCCCTTACAGGTGGGACCTTTTGTGTTAATCTGTTTTCTCCCCAGTCATCTTATTTGGCTATGTTAAAAAAAAAAAAAAAAAAAAAGCGAGAGAGAGAGATGGTGTCTCACTGTGTTGCCCAGGCTGGTCTCGAACTCCTGGCCTCAAGTGACTTTCCCACCTCAGCTTCCCAAAGTGCTGGAATCACAGGCATGAGCCACAGTGCCTGGTCTTAGCTGTGTTTTTAATTATGCCATGCATCAACATAACACCGGGCCATCTTCCTATCCCTTCCTATCCCATATGTTTAATGAAAACATATTTTATGTGCTAAATTAGGTTAATTTACCAGAGATTTAGCTTAGTGTTTTTAAACTATAGAACAATACCCCTATAGAACAATGTACAGCTGCACCCAAGGTTAAAAAGAGGTAGCAGGGAAAACAAACTTAAACTCTTTGTATATGGTGAAACCCATCCCTCTCCTGCCCTCTAATGGTATGTTTACATTATTTCGTTATTATACAATGTAGTGGTATAAACAGTATTATTAAACTGAAGGCATAAGTTAAAGGAAGTATGTTACTTTGAGCTGATGTAGGCTCTTCCACTTTTATCTGTATTTTACTTATTTGGGGACTTTGTATTGCTAGGGCTTCAGAATACTAACTTTGACACAGCTCCCAGAGAGGTTTGCAAACTTTTGGTTTCCCTCTCAAATCCATGGTAGTAGTTTCAAATGAGTTTGTGGATAATGGATGTTTAGTCCTTATCATTTGCTGTGTTTTGACAGTTTTTAATTTGCAGTATTCACTCACGAACTGTTTTATTTTAGGAATAATGCAAAACCAACCTTCGTCCGGTGATGAGAATAGCCGTATGATAAGAGAATTTGCTCATCGTGCTTTAAATGATTAACTGTTTTACCTTATTTAGTATTTCATAGACTTTGCATGATATGGTACACTCCTAATTATGCATTCTTTGGTTTCCAAATCTTAATCTAAGATACTTTGTTAACTGACTGGTAGCCTAAGAAAGAGACTTTTCTTCCTGTTTTTCTCTCTCCCCATTTTTTGGGGTAAGTTTTGCAAAGATCAGTGCTGCTTCTCATGACTCTAAAGTAAAGCTCTTTTGGATAGCACAGCCTAACTTTACAGCTAGACAGAATGGCCATTAAGAATATTTCCAAAATCCAAGTTTATCAAAATTATTTTGTGGGAAATCATCAATCTATTTTATTAATGTTATGTGTTTAATTTTGGACTTATTTTGGGAAAAACTGTTCAAATTGGGTCCTTTTAAGCTTATTTTAAGCAGCCTAGAAGGAAGAAGCTACTTAGCTAATGAAAGCTGAGACACTTTATTAAAAGCAGGATCTTAAGAGCATTGTTTTTCCTTAAAAACTTTATACTCTCAGATAATCTGCAACAACAAAAATTAAGAAATCCCTGACTTTTGTAGAATTCCCACTGTCAAATTCTCACTGACTTATGAGTGTGAGAGAAGTTATCTTTTGTTTGAATTCTGATAGAACAGTTTAACTCCTTTCTAAGGATATAAAAAATTCATTGGAAAGTGTGTATATTTCAAAGACTCTCAATTATCTGGACTGAAGGCACTGTTCTCACTATGGCCAGATGAATGGGAGTATTCTGTACATGAATCATGCTGTATTTTAAATCAGGACATCACTTAAGTATTAATGTTGTGTGTACAGATTTTTGTTTTGGGATTTTTTTTGCCTAAATAAATGTTATAAATTTTATGTAAAGTGTGTCTTGTCTACTTTTATTCTAGACATTTGGCTTTAAAAGTTAATATTAATGCAAACTTCAAATTCCTTAGTGATCCACTTGTAATGATTGCTTTCTGAAAAAGGCTACTTTTACTGGAGAAGTTTTTATTTTTATTTTATTTTTTGAGACAGGGTCTTACTCTGTCACTCAGGCTGGAGTGCAATGGCATGATCGTGGTGCATGCCACCACACTAGGCTAATTTTTTAATTTTTTGTAGAGACAGGGGTCTCCCTATGTTGCTCAGGCTGGTCTGGAACTCTTGTCCTCAAACTATCCTCGCTTCAGCCTCCTAAAGTGCTGGAATTATAGGTGTGAGCCACCACGCCCAGCCTGCAGACATTTTTAATACTGGAACATCATCCATTTCCTTTTTTTTTCCCCCCACTCAGCGTTGGCCTTGAACATTCATTTCCTTAAATACCTATGCTAAGTACTATTTAAGAGTTGTAACTTATATAACTTATAAATACTTCAGGGAACTTAAATTTACTGGAGAAGAGTAAATATTAAATAAACAGATAAATATTGCATAACAGTATATTAAAGACCAGTCCTCAATACTTGTAGAGAGAGACCACACCTAATCCAGACTGGACACCCATTAGACAGTCCAAGAAGACTTCCCGGAGAGAAGATTTGAGTTAACATTCACACAAAGATTGAGATAATTAACTGGCATAACATATATTGTTTAAGTGCACTTAGTGAGGGGGGATCCTAAAAACTGAAGTATTATATTCTTATATTAATATAAGGACTCCATGGCTGGGAAGAATCCTTAGTGATTTTAGTTTCAGAACCTTCATTTTACAGTTAAAGAAAATAGGTGTGGCTGGGCGTGATGGCTGACACCCTGTAATCCCAGCACTTTGAGAGGCTGAGGTGGGAGGATTGCTTGAGCCCAGGAGTTTGAGACCAGCGTGGGCAACAAAGACCTCATCTTTACAAAAAATAAATAAATTAGTCCTACAGAGTATTCGGGAGCTGAGGTAGGAGGATTGTTTGAGCCTGGGAGGTCAAGTACTCCAGCCTGGGTGACAGAACTAAACCCTGTCTTAAAAAAAAAAAATAAAAAAAAGTAAAATGTGTTTGTTGAAGTCACATAGCAAGTCAGTGACAGACTGCACTACAATGCTTTTTTTGTTTTTTTTTGTTTTTTTTTTAGATGGAGTCTCACTCTGTCACCCAGGCTGGAGTGCAGTGGCACAATCTCAGCTCACTGCAACCTCTGCCTCCGAAGGTTCAAGTGATTCTGCCTCATCCTCCCCAGTAGCTGAGATTACAGGCATGCAGCACCATACCTGGCTAACTTTTGTATATTTGGTAGAGACAGGGCTTCACCATGTCGGCCAGGCTGGTCTTGGACTCCTGACCTCAGGTGATCTACCTGCCTTGGCCTCCCAAAGTGCTGGGATTACAGGCGTGAGCCACCAAGCCCCGCCTGCACTACAATTATTTCCAAATTCTCAATATGGTGGGTTTTCCTCTCCATGTCCCACCACATTGGTGCACAATAATATGAAATTTTTTAGATTTGGGGTAATATGTGATTAAGCATCAAATGAATGGTACAGAAAAGAACATGCTCCAAGGAGGAAAGGGGATTGACTGTTCTTGAGGATGGTGTTAGAGGGCAGTGTTAGTGTGTAAATACTATAGAGCTGGCCAGGCACGGCAGCCCATGCCTGTAATCCCGAGGCAGGTGGATCACCTGAGGTCAGGAGTTGGAGACCAGCTGGCCAACATGGTGAAACCCCATCTCTGCTAAAAATACAAAAATTAGGCCGGGCGCGGTGGCTCACGCCTGTAATCCCAGCACTCTGGGAGGCCAAGGCTGGTGGATGATGAGATCAGGAGTTCAAGACCAGCCTGACCAACATAGTGAAACCCTGTCTCTACTAAAAATAACAAAAATTAGCCCAGCGTGGTGGTGTGCGCCTATAATCCCAGCTACTCGGGATGCTGAGGCAAGAGAATCGCTTGAACCAAGAGGCGGAGGTTGCAGTGAGCCAAGATCATGCCACTGCACTCCATCCTGGGCGACAGAGCGAGACTCCATCCCAAAATAAAAAATAAATAAATAAAAAATGAAAATACAAAATTAGCACGTGGTGGCTCCCATCTGTAATCCCAGCTACTGGGGATTCTGAGGCAGGGGAATCGCTTGAACCTGGGAGAGGAGGTTGGCAATGAGCGGAGATCACGCCACTGCTCTCCAGTCTGGGCTACAGAGTGAGACTGCATCTCAAAAAATAAATGCATGCTTTAGAGCTGTTAATGAATGGTCACTACAAATACTACTGCTTCACCAATAAAAATGAGATTAGATGTGTTAGGGTGATTGTCAAGTTTGTTTTGTTTTGAGATGGAGTCTCACTCTGTCGCCCAGGCTGGAGTGCAGTAGCGCAATCTTGGCTCACTGCGACCTCCTCCTCCTAGATTCCAGCGATTCTCCTGCCTCAGCCTCCCGAGTAGCTGGGACTACAGGTGTGCACCACCATGCCTGGCTAATTTTTCTATTTTATTTATTTATTTTGTTTTGAGACAGAGTTTTGCTCTTGTCACCTAGGCTGGAGTGCAGTGGCACCATCTCAGCTCTCTGCAACCTCCGCCTCCGAGGTTCAGGGGATTCTCCTGCCTCAGCCTCCCGAGTAGCTGGGATTACAGGTGTGAGCCACCACGCCCAGGTAATTTTTGTATTTTTATCAGAGACGGGTTTTGCCATATTGGCCAGGCTGGTCTCGAACTCCTGACCTCATGATCCGCCTGCCTCAGCCTCCCAAAGTGCAGGGATTACAGGCGTGAGCCACTGCACCTGGCCTAGCATAACTTTCACAGATAATTTAAAGTCTGTTGTGTAATGATAGCCTTTAAAGTAGAATTTGCTGTAGAGCCTATTATGAGGGAGACATTTCTAATTATTGCCTCTTTTATTCTAAACCATGGAAAAAGGACCTAACAAATGATGTCCTGGTAGAAGAGTGAAGGCCTCCTGGCAGTGTTCGCTTTAATCCATGATGTGGGTTAAGAGGAGTTTTGACTGATTATGAATGAGGCAATGTATGTACCACTAAAGTTTGTTACCTACACTGGGCCTTCATCTTTTATGTATTAAAGTATAAGGTTATTCACGTATAAGGCTGTCTGCAAAAATCCTTCACAAATAAAAGTATACCCTAAAAGTGCACATAACAGACCCTCTTTTCATTTCTATTATTCATAGAAG
Source organism: Homo sapiens (assembly GCF_000001405.40). Classification (NCBI taxonomy): domain Eukaryota; kingdom Metazoa; phylum Chordata; class Mammalia; order Primates; family Hominidae; genus Homo; species Homo sapiens. The sequence continues at coordinate 52,830,595 of NC_000001.11, forward strand.
CATAAGCAAGGAAAAAATATTCAAAAATAAGAGTCTCGTGATAGTAGAAGTCTTGATCTGTGATCCTGGGAAAAGCTGTTCACATCAAGGATGCCATCTTCTTCTGGGGAGAAACGTTTCTAGTCGGTTTTACCTTAAGGGTTCCAGTGGGTGTACTGTTCCAGGAATGTGGAGGGACCCTTTTCAGTTGTGAGATTATGAACCCAAGGTTCAAGGCTCCAGAGTTTTGCTGTAGTGTGGACGACAAGGACAATCTTTCTCTGATGTTCTCAGAAGATCCAATCTTCTAGGCCAGGCACGGTGGTTCATGCCTGTAATCCCATCACTTTGGGAGGTTGAGGTGGGCAGATCGCCTGAGGTCAGAAGTTCAAGACCAGCCTGACCAACATGGAGAAATCCTGTCTCTACTAAAAATACAAAATTAGTTGGGCGTGGTGGCGCATGCCTGCAATATCAGCTACTCAGGAGGCTGAGGCAGGAGAATCGCTTGAACCCGGGAGGCACAGGTTGCGGGTGAGCCGAGATCGCACCATTGCACTCCAGCGTGGGCAACAAAAGCGAAACTCTGTCTCAAAAAAAAAAGAAGAAAAAAAGAGATTCAATCTTCTGTAATCCCAGCACTTTGGGAGGCCGAAGCAGATGGATCACCTGAAGTCAGGAGTTCAAGACCAGCCTGGCCAATATGGTGAAACCCCATCTCTACTAAAAATACAAAAATTAGCCGGGTGTGGTGGCTCACACCTGTAATCCCAGCTACTTGGGAGGCTGAGGTAGGAGAATCGCTTGAACCTGGGAGGCGAGGTTGCAGTGAGCCAAGATGGTGCCATTGCACTCCAGCCTGGGCGACAAGAGTGAAACTCCATCTCAAAAAAAAAAATATATATATATAAAAGAATATCCAATCTCCGGGTTCTAGATTGTGAAGGGATTGTCCTTAGTGACCCATAAAAAGCTTTCTTTACCTGGTGAAAATACACTGTAGCATAATCTACTATTATAATATCAGCCTCATGCATGTGAAAGTTTTTATACAACCAGAAAACATGCATTGAAAATGACAATACAATGAAATCCTTTTATAAATGTTTAGCCCATCAGGTAGGCAAATACACTTGAAGTTTTGATTGTCTTCCCAGGAATATGGAAGCAAACATTGGTTTTAAACTTTCCACAATTTGTAAGTCACTGCATCAATATAATTTGAATTATTTTATCTTTTCCATGACGAGTCATGGAATGCAGAACCTTTAATAACAAAAGCTTAAGGACTTAGGAAGGACAAGGTGGCCGTCCTGGTTCTTCATGAGTCCATGCTTACCACTGGACTTAGGTCCTATTGAATACCAGTTGTTTCTCCAATATAGGTGCATGGCACTGATAACTAATGGGTTATCACAGGTAATTTGACTTAAACCATGGAGTTCATTCAAATTGTATATTTAAACAATTTGAATATTGGCTGATTTAGCATGATAATCTAGAGCTTGATTTTGAAAGGTTAAATAAATACCAAAGGTTTAAAACATTGAACATGGAATATTACAAAATAGAATCTTAAGTTACTGTAAGTCATTTAGCCAAAATGATAACTTGAAAATTTCTTTCTTTTTTTTTTTTTTTGAGATGGACTTTCACTCTTGTCACCCAGGCTGGAGTGCAATGGCACGATCTTGGCTCACTGCAACCTCCGCCTCCTGGTTTCAAGAGATTCTTCTGCCTCAGCCTCCTGAGTAGCTGGGATTACAGGTGCATGCCACCACGCCTGGCTAATTTTTGTATTTTTAGTAGAGACGGGGTTTCACTATGTTGGCCAGGCTGGTCTGGAACTCCTGACCTCAGGTGATCCGCCTGCCTCGGCCTCCCAAAGTGCTGGGATTACAGGTGTGAGCCACAGCGCCAGGCCAACTTGAAAATTTTTAAAAGGAAGAAACATTATTCTGATAGCAAGGAGATTCAGCTTTCCAAACGACCCAATGAAGATAGCCTGAGGCCGACTGATTGTCTCCTTTCCTTCCCTTCCCCCTTTTTCTTTTGTAGTTTACTTAAATGGTAAACAAAAATGCCGGGCCTTGAAAGAACAGGGCCATGAAAGGGGGTCTCTGGTGCCTCCTGTTTTTCCCAAGGAGTCCAGGCTGTTAGAACTTGAATATTCACTTTTAATTAAGCTGACTTTTAACCATAGCACTCTTTAATAAAATCCTTTTAAAATGTCTTATTACCCAATTTTAGCCAGGCCAAAAGGCTGATATTCCTGGCTTTTGAACTTTACCAAAGGTAAAGTTAAGGACTCAGGAAGGTTCTCAGAGAAAGGAAGATTTAAGATAGTCAGTGGAGAAGAGACTAGAGACGGTCATGCAGTTATTAAACCGGAAAGGACTTACTTCCTAAGCAGGGAATTGAGCTAGTGTGAAAGGGCAAAGCCTTGACTACTGAGCTACAGCACACGGCAGTCTTTTCTTTCCCTTCCCAGAAGGAGTTTAGAATAGTTAATTTTGAGCTTGCAAAGGCTTTTAGTTAAAAGATAATTTTTAGAGCTAACTATGACAGAAACCCTAAAATTATTGTTCCCTGGAAGGCAAAGACCAAGAGAAAGTATTGCCACATGGTTACAAGGTCAAGCTCCTAAGGACGTAAAACAAGATGGAGACAAACAGTGGTTTTTACCATTCATTCAACCATTTGCACAGAGAGAGAGAAGCCAGAAATTTGACTGGTAAGAAATTCCTGGCCAAGCGTGGTGGCTCACTCCTGTAATCCCAGCACTTTGGGAGGCCGAGTTGGGTGGATCACGAGGTCAGGAGATAGAGACCATCCTGGCTAACACAGTGAAACCCCGTCACTACTAAAAATACTAAAAAAAAAAAAAAAAAAAAATTAGCCGGGCGTGGTGGCGGGCGCCTGTAGTCCCAGCTACTGGGGAGGCTGAGGTGGGAGAATGGCGTGAACCCGGGAGGTGGAGCTTGCAGTGAGCCAAGATAATGCCACTGCACTCCAGCCTGGGCGACAGGGCGGGACTCCGTCTCAAAAAAAAAAAAATTCCTACCCTTTTGCCAGCATGCCAGGCTTCTGGGTTCCCTTTCCCTGAGTGGCCCTAGTGACTCAGCTTGCTGCATCATCACTCTGGGGGCCAAGCCGCATCATAAAAGAAAATTATCTTTCTTCGTTCTGGCCAGAGCAAGATACGTGTGACAAAACAGACATTAGTCACTCTGCTTAGCACCCAATATCAAACTGACAGAGCTCAAACTTGCCTCTGGTTGTGCCCCATCATCGTTAATCCAACCTCCGACCAGGAATTTCAACCTGTGGTCTCTGGGCAAGATGGTCGCCCTGAGTAACAGAAAAGATAAGCAAGGGAGCCGGGCCAGGCAAGGTGGCTCATGCCTGTAATCCCAGCACTTTGGGAGGCCAAGGCGGGCGGATTGTTTCAGGTCAGGAGTTCAAGACCAGCTTGGCCAACAGGGTGAAACCCTGTTTCTACTAAAAATACAAAAAATTAGCTGGGCGTGGTGGCGCACGCCTGTAGTCCCAGCTACTCAGTTGGCTGAGGCAGGAAAATTGCTTGAACCCGGGAGGCAGAGGTTGCAGTGAGCCAAGATCTTGCCACTGCACTCCATCCAGCCTGGGTGATAGAGCAAGACTCCAACCCAAAATAAAAAAAGAAAAGAAAGGGAGAGAGAGAAAAAAGCATTGCCTGCGGCAGGGTTGGGAAGGTGAAATGATCAGGGAAGCCAGAGAAAGACCCACCCATTGCAACGACTCTGAAAAGTTCAGTCAGCTGCTTCTCGGTAGCAAAGGGATCTTTTCCAGCAGTCTCATCAGCTCTCAAGTTTCCCCTTTTAGGGGGGAAAACGCTCCCCCGTCCCATGATCCTGTACATGCCTAATGGCCACTCACAGCCTTCAGCAAAGAGTGCAAGGCAGATTATTCCAAAGAGAATAGCAGTTGACATGCTGTAGTACCAAACCTGTTCTTAGCCAAAAGGGGCTTTACGAAGAGCCCTCATGTTTAAATGTACTTCAGTGCATTGTTGTTCATTCGGCACATTCCACTGTAAGTCACCTTTAGTAAGATTTTGCCATTTCTGTAAGACTTCGCTGCCTCCCAGGCCTAATGTATAACCCAAAAAGAACTCAGTTTTCCAGAAATTAAGGATCCCATTTTCCCATTTTTCCCTAGAATATTGACTTTACTCAGGTTCTCTTGATTAACTTAGCCAATGACTTTTTTTCCTACGTAAGCATGCACAAAAAATGAAACAAAGGGGCAGAACACAAAAATCCATGTGAATTTTCAAAAGCCAAATTTTATAACCCCTGCAATATTACTGCTTTACCACCAGTTCCTTTCTGACCCAGTCAGATGTAAGAGGCCTCTAACTTGATCCAAGCCAGTTAATTCCCAGATCAAACCTGTTCCTGGACCCAGTCCAGTTTCTGTCGCAACTCCAAACCCAGTTTGGATCAGAAATTTTCTCAAACTCCAAAACACAAATCCATGGAGCTCCAAAATCTGAGAGGGAGCTTACGATGATCCCCAGCCACTCTGAGAGATCCATGGACACAAAAATGGGTCCTGCATTGTCTTCACTCAGCACTCCTGGGGTCGCTAGAAGCTCCATTTCAGAACCCGCTTCTGACACCATCTGATAAAAGAAAAACTTCAGCCGAATTAAATTTAAAGAAGTTTAATTGAGCAATGAACCATTCGTGAATCAGGCAGTCCCCAGAATCACAGCAGATTCACAGAGATTCCTGGGGTGCCGCGTGGTCAGAACAAATGTATAGATAAAAAAGGTAAAGTGGCGTACAGGAATCAGAAGTGAGGCACAAAAGCAGTGAGATTGGGCCAGGCGCGGTGGCTCATGCCTGTAATCCCAGCACTTTGGGAGGCCGAGGCGGGCTGATCACTCGAGGTCAGGAGTTTGAGACCAGCCTGGCCAACATGGTAAAACCCCATCTCTACTAAAAATAAAAAATAAAAAAAATTACCCAGGCATGGTGGTGGGAGCCGGTAGTCCCAGCTACTCGGAAGGCTGAGGCAGAAGAATAGCTTGAACCCAGGAGGCAGAAGTGGTGAGCCAAGATCGCGCCACTGCACTCCAGCCCAGGGCGACAGAGCAAGGCTCCATCTCAAAAAAATAAATAAATAAATAAAGGGGGGCTGGGCGCAGTGGCTCATGCCTGTAATCCCAGCACTTTGGGAGGTCGAGGCGGACGGATCACTTGAGATCAGGAGTTCTAGATCAGCCTGGCCAACATGGTGAAACCCTGTCTCTACCAAAAATACAAAAATTAGCCAGGTATGGTGGTGCGTGCCTGTAATCCCAGCTACTCTGGAGGCTGAGGCAGGAGAATCGCTTGAACCCTGGGACCCAGAGGTCGACGTTGCAGTAAGCCAAGATCCCACCACTGCCTCCAGCCTGGGTGACAGAGTGAGACCCTGTCTCAAAAAAATAATAATAATAAATAAAAATAAATTAAAAATAAAAAGCCATCCTTTATTCTTCCCTTTCCCCTACTTGAAGTTTTTGTTATGTTGATTGACTTAGCCACTTCTTAACTGAAGTGTTCCTTTCTTTCCCCATTACACTTTTATCTTCTAGTCCCACATCGTCAATCTACATCATAAAAGTCCAGCGAATTGGTCTATCTGCATACCTCCACAAATTGAGAAGTGGGAGCAAAGGGTGGAAACCTTGAGCATTCACATTAATCGTTTTCATCCCTTATAATTTAAGACTCTAATGCAGTCTCAAAATTCAGCCTTTATACAGGCTCCAACTTATGAAAAAGCAAGCCATAGTGTGGAGTAGACATAAGAGCTCTTGGCTTCCAGAAGCCAGTCTTTGGGGCTGGTTTGGGGAGGTGATGCCGGTGGCCAGATGTTGAAGACTCCTGTGCTTTCAGTAGGATAGCTGTTTAAAATCATTTTGCATGGAAGCTAACACCTGTAATCCCAGCACTTTGGGAGGCCGAGGCAGGCAGATCACCTGAGGTCAGGAGTTCAAGACCAGCCTAGCCAACATAGTGAAACCCTGTCTCTACTAAAAATACAAAAATTAGCCGGGCGTGGTGGCTCACAACTATTATTCCATCTACTCAGGAGGCAGAGACAGGAGAATCGCTTGAACCCAGGAGGCAAGAGGTTGCAGCTAAGATCATGCCACTGCACTCTAGCCTGGGTGACAGAGTGAGACACCATCTCAAAAAAATAAATAAGTAAATAAATTCATCTTGCAGTGACTTGGTCAAGGATTGCCTCTGAAGAGTGTCTTCTAGATTGGAATGTAAATCTAAGAGATAAGAACACAACAACAACAACAACAAACCTTAGCTCTCTTGTCCTTGAACATTAACACACATTATAAAAGGAACCATTTAAGGCCAGGCGCAGTAGCTCACGCCTGTAATCCCAGCACTTTGGGAAGCTGAGGCAAATAAAATCACTTGAGGTCAGGTGTTGGAGACCAGCCTGGCCAACATGGTGAAACCCTGTATCTACTAAAAATGCAAAAATCAGCCAGGCAAGGGCTGGGTGTTATGGCTCCTGTGTAATCCCAGCGCCTTGGGAGGCCAAGGCGGGTGGATCACCTAAGGTCAGGAGTTTGAGACCAGCCTAACCAACTTGGCGAAACCCCATCTCTACTAAAAATACAAAAATTAGCTGGGCTTGGTGGCAGGCACTTGTAATCCCAGCTACTTGGGAGGCTGAGGCACGAGAATCACTTGAACCCAGGAGGCGGAGGTTGCAGTGAGCCGAGATCGGGCCATTGCATTCCCACCTGGATGACGAGCAAAACTCTGTCTCAGAAAAAAAAAAAAAATTACCCTGGCATGGTGGCAGGTGCCTGTAATCCCAGCTACTCGGGAGGCTGAGGCAGGATAATCACTTGAACGCGGGAGGCAGAGGTTGCAGTGAGCTGAGATGGTGCCTTGCACTCCAGCCTGGGGGACCTAGCAAAACTACATCTCAAAAAAAAAATCTTGTAGGGAAGATAATTATCCTCCATTTTTCAGATGAAGGGAAGCCTACTGAGGTCAAATGACTTGCCTCAAATCACACAGGTAGCAAATAGAGCAACTTGTAGATTAAACATCCACACTATTTTTTCTTAATTTTTGTTTAAGATGTGCCTGGCAGGGCACGGTGGCTCATGCCTGTAATCCCATCAGTTTGGGACGCCCATCACTTTGGGAGGGCGAGGTGGGCAGATCACCTGAGGTCGGGAGTTCAAGACCAGCCTGACCAACATGGAGAAACCCTGTCTCTACTAAAAATACAAAATTAGCCGGGCGTGGTGGCACATGCCTGTAATCCCAGCTATTCTGGAGGCTGAGACAGGAGAATCATTTGAACCCAGGAGGCGGAGGCTGCAGTGAGCCGAGATCATGCCACTGCACTCTAGCATGGGCAACAAAAGTGAGACTCAGTCTCAAGAAAAAAAAAAAGGATGTGGCGGGGGTGGGGGGTGTCTCATTATGTTGCCCAGGCTGGCATCGAAATCCTGGACTCAAGCACTCCTCCCACCTTGGCCTGCCAATGGGATTAATTACAAGCTTGAGCCACTGCACCCAGCCCAAACCTACACACTATCTTGCCATTGGATTTCCTACTCTGTGGAAAACATGCAGCTTTGTTTTTGTTTTTTGTCCTTTTTTTCCTCCTTTTTGTGGGAATGGGGTCTCGCCATATTGCCCAGGCAGGTCTCGTACTCCTGGGTTCAAGCTATTCCCCTGTCTCTGTCGCCCTAAGGACTGGGATTACAGGCGTGAGCCACTGCGCCTGGCAACTTGCTGCTTTGTATAATCTCAGTAGAAGGGCCGGGCGCAGTGGCTCAAGCTGTAATCCCAGCACTTTGGGAGGCCGAGGCGGGCGGATCACAAGGTCAGGAGATCGAGACCATCCTGGCTAACACGGTGAAACCCCGTCTCTACTAAAAATACAAGAAGTTAGCCAGGCGTGGTGGTGGGCGCCTGTAGTCCCAGCTACTTGGGAGGCTGAGGCAGGAGAACAGCATGAACCTGGGAGGCAGAGCTTGCAGTGAGCCGAGATTGCACCACTGCACTCCAGCCTGGGTGACAGAGTGAGACCCCATCTCAAAAAAAAAATAAAAAAATAAAAAATAATCTCAGTAGAATATGAGGAAAAAAGGATAGCCAGAAGCCCTCCAAAACTGATTCATGAAATAAAACACATAATTGATTTTTTTTTCTTAAACACAGAGTATCAAAAGACACAGGACAGGGTGCCCAGATCGACTGTTCTGTGCTCCAAATAATAACAATGATAATTTCATTTTTTAAATTTATTGTTATTTATTTTTTATTTTTGTCTGAGATGGAGTCTTGCTCTGTTGCCTAGGCTGGAATGCAATGGCGCAATCTGGGCTCACTGCAACCTCTGCCTCCCATGTTTAAACGATTCTCCCGCCTCAGCCTCCCGAGTAGCTGGGATTACGGGCATCTGCCACCAAGCCCGGCTAATTTTGTATTTTTACTAGAGATGGAGTTTCATCATGTTGGCCAGGCTGGTTTTGAACTCCTGACCTCAGGTGATCCACCCACCTCAGCCTCCCGAAGTGCAGGGATTACAGGCATGAGCCACTGCGCCCAGCCGATTTTATTTATTTATTTTTTTTGAGACACAGTTTCCTTTTTGTCACCCAAGCTGGAGTGCAATGGCACAATCTCGGCTCACTGCAATCTCCACCTCCCAGGTTCAAGTTATTCTCTTGCTTTAGCCTCCCAAGTAGCTGGGATTACAGGCGCCTGCCACCCCGCTTGGCTAATTTTTGTATTTTTAGTAGAGAGAGAGTTTCATCATGTTGGTCAGGCTGGTCTCGAACTCCTGACCTCAAGTGATCCATCCACCTCGGCCTCCCACAGTGCCGGGATTACAGGAGTGAGCCACCACGCCTGGCCAATAACAATAATTTTAAAAGCAAAACCGCTCTGTAGGTTATTTGCCCACAAGCAGCACTTGGCTCCTGGCCTTAAAAATGCCAGGAGAAGACTGACAATCAGGCCACCGCTTTGTGCCCATGACAGAAACGGCAAAGCCTATTTTTTTTTTTTTTTTTTTTTTTGAGACGGAGTCTCACTCTGTCGCCCAGGCTGGAGTGCAGTGGCGGGATCTCGGCTCACTGCAAGCTCCGCCTCCCGGGTTCACGCCATTCTCCTGCCTCAGCCTCCCAAGTAGCTGGGACTACAGGCGCCCGCCACTACGCCCGGCTAATTTTTTGTATTTTTAGTAGAGACGGGGTTTCACCGTTTTAGCCGGGATGGTCTCGATCTCCTGACCTCGTGATCCGCCCGCCTCGGCCTCCCAAAGTGCTGGGATTACAGGCGTGAGCCACCGCGCCCGGCCCTATTTTTTTATTTTTATTTATTTTTTAAGAAAGAGAGTCTCACTCTGTCGCCAGGCTGGAGTGCAGTGGCGTCATCTCGGCTCACTGCAACTTCCGCCTCCTGCGTTCAAGGAATTCTCCTGCCTCAGCCTCCCGAGCAGCTGGGACTACAGGCGCACACCACCATGCCCAGCTAATTTTTGTGTTTTTAGTAGAAACGGGGTTTCTCCATGTTGGTCAGGCTGGTCTCAAACCCCGACTTCAGGTGATTCACTTGCCTTGGCCTCCCAAAATGTTGGGATTACGGTGTGAGCCACTGCACCCAGCCACTTTTATTTACTTATTTTTACTTTTTGCAACAAAGTCTCGCTTTGTCACCGGGGCTGGAGTGCAATGGCGCAATCTAAATTTACTGCAACCTCTGCCTCCTGGGTTCAAGCAAATCTGGCTCAGCCTCCCAAGTAGCTGGGATTACAGGGATGCGCCACCATGCCCAGGTAATTTTTTTGTGTATTTTTAGTAGAGATTGGGTTTCACTATGTTGGCCAGGCTGGTCTTGAACTCCTGACTTCAGGCGATCCACCCATCTCGGCCTCCCATAGTGCTGGGATTACAGGCATGAGCCACCGTGCCTGGCCTCATGTGTTACGTTTTAAATTAATTGGTTTAATAATAAGAGCTTAAATAAAATATTTTGTCAGAAAAGTGAAAAACATAATGCCTTTTATTTAGTTCATGTGACTTGGGTAATCTTTGGGAAATAAAGATGGGTTTAAAGATTATTGATAAAATACAAATGTCTTCAAAATGTAAACATGTGGTCAAAATTATGTTCAAATATTAGGTTTGCTAAATGCTTTAAGGTCATAAACTGCTTCCTTGGCTTTTGAAAATTGTTTAACTTGCCTGTTTTCTAGCTCGGTAAGGCCTGGGACATATGCAGTTGGCCACACCTCTAGATATGCTGGAAATAGTCAAACCTTATGAGAACATAACTTACCAGGTTCTATATTAAAGTTAAAATTGCTGAAATTCACACTTCAGCTGTAATAGGAAATATCCTCTCCATTGGGCAAAAGCCGAGGAAATGACTGTAACTTTCCTTCATCCTCGTCATTTACATAGGGCATACCCCAAGTAGAGGGTATTTAAACTCCCAAAAATTCTGTAACGGGGTCTTTGAGCCCCAGTGCTCGGGCCCACTCCCACATTGTGGCATTGTGGAGTGTACTTTCATTTTCAATAAATCCCTTCATTCCTTCCTTGTTTGTGCGTTTTGTCCAATTCTTTGTTCAAGACACCAAGAACATGAACACCCTCCACCGTTAACAAAAGCATATTGGCGGGGGCACGGTGGCTCACGCCTGTAATCCCAACATTTTGAGACGCCGAGGCGTGCGGATCACCAGGTCAGGAGATCTAGACCATCCTGGCCAACATGGTGAAACGCTGTCTCTACTAAAAATACAAAAATTAGCCGGGTGTGGTGGCGCGCGCCTGGAGTCCCAGCTGCTTGGGAGGCTGAGGCAGGAGAATCACTTGAACCCAGGAGGCGGAGGTTGCTGTGAGCTGAGATCGCGTCACTGCACTCCAGCCTGGGCAACAGAGCGAGACTCCGTCTAAAAAAAAAAAAAAAAAAAAAGCATATTGATTGGACTTGCAGTAAGAAAACTCAATTTTGACTCCCAGGTTGGCCACTCATCAGCTGGCCAAAAAACGTGTTGTCTATTCAACCTGTCAGTTCTTCAGTTTCCCTGTGAGAAAAATGGGGATGATACCTACAGCACAGGATTTTTTTTCTTCTTGTAGTAAGTGGATTAAATAAAAGAATAAATAAATGAAAGAAAAGCATTAGGCAAAGTACTTAAAAATAATTTTAACATCTGAATCCAATCCACTTATCAAGGACTTACTATGTAAAAAGCATTGTGATGTGTTTTACATACATTATTTAATCCTTACATTAAGTCTGTGAGATAAAGCATTCTCATTCTATTTTACTGATGAGGAAGTTGAGCTTCAGAGACATCAAGAATCTTGCTCCAGGTTCTCAAACACTAGATGGCTGAGCGGGCATTCTAATTCAGGATTCAAACTCCAAGGCTCATGCTCTTGAGAACTTTCCTTTTCCAAGGTATTGCTTTCTCTTAAATTAGCTAATGTGTACTAACTTGTGGAGTTTCTTTCCTGGAGAAAGTTAGAAGGGTCTCTCGGGGTTTCTTTCTTGGAGCAGGTTATAAGGGTCTTCTCGAGTACTTTTTAAGTAACAAGAAAGCTAAATAGATTTTTTGGTAGATACTTGCCAATATTTTGTATTCGTTTTATATTTGATTTATCCAGATACTCTAAGGAGTTGAAACAGAGAGGACCGTTAGAGAGGTGCTGTTGCCAGATTTTCAGGGGCAAAGTCTTTGAAATATATATTTTAATGTATGAAAGCTTTAAAAAATATATACATATATAGAAATAATGAATATGTGTGTGTGTGTGTGTGTGTGTGTGTGTGTGTGTGTGTGTACATGTATATATATATACAGTATTCCCCAAACCTACACAGCCGGTCCTCGGGGAATATCCTCTCAAGCCCTGAGGTGCAGGGCTGGGAAGGAGTGGGTGAGCGGCTGGGTCGTGGCAGGTTGGTCTGGGGAGGCTGGGGAGGCTGGGGAGGCGGGAGGAGAACGGTTGGCCCCGGCAGCGGCGTGTCGGAGGGCGGATGGGGCTAGGAGGCCGCCCGGGGGGTGGGGTCTGCGGCGGGCCGGCCCCCGCGTGCGCGTCGCCTCGCCGGGCATTTCAAAAGCTCGCCGGCAGGGCGCGGCGCTAGCTCCGTGTGCCTCGCAGGCGTGGTGGGCGCGTCCTGGCAGCCGCCCGCTTGGTTCTCGCGGGATCCGGGCTCCGGCTCGACGCCGGCTCTCTTTTTGACGCCCCGCCGCCGGGGTTGCCATGGTTCATTTCTTGCACCCGGGCCACACGCCCCGGAACATCGTCCCTCCTGACGCTCAGAAGGATGCCCTGGGCTGCTGCGTGGTACAGGTGAGCACCGGGGTGCGGGCGGCGACGCGGACCTCGGCGCCACGTCCAGCTCCGGCGAGCGCGGCGAGTCTCCTGGGACGCTGCCGAGGCACTTGCTGGGGAGTGTGGCCCGCGCGGGGCTGCGGTCTAGATGCCGAGCCCCTTCCAGGCGCAGGCGTCGCTGCGGAGGTGCGTTGTCGGGGGAGGCGGCCTGGGCGCCGCGGAGCGGGGGGTGCTTTTCTGCGCCCGGCGAAGCGCGTGGAACTTGCGCCCTGAGGCAGCGCGGCGAGAGCCCAGTCCCAGAGACCGGGGCGAGCCTCCTCAGGATTCCTCGCCCCAGTGCGGGCTGCTGTGAGCTTAGACGTAGGTGCAGGGCATGGCACTCGGCTTGGCCCGTAGTGGACGGTGTTTTTGCAGTCATGAACCCAAACGCCGCAAACCTTGACCGTTTCCCCACCCGTGTTGTGGACGCAGCGCCCCGCGGAGGCGGTGACCCTTTGGCCGTTACCACCTGAGGCCTTTGGGCCCGGGGCCGGGCGAGTAGCTTAGTCCGGCTGGGGGAACTGGAACCCGAAGTCTGAGATTCTTTCAGTTCCGCGCGTCCGCCCCCGTCCCCGTCCCGTCCCCAGCCTTTGCCGAATGCCTGTTACTCTTAGCTCTGGACAAAATGCAAACCCAAAGAATGTGTGTTTAGCGCCTGCTGTGTGTTAAGTGTCGCCTTTCTTTTCTTTCTTTCTTTTTTTTTTTTTTTTTGAGACGGAGTCTCGCTCTGTCACCAGGCTGGAGTGCAGTGGCGCGATCTGGGCCCACTGCAACCTCCGCCTCCGGGGTTCAAGCGATTCTTCTGCCTCAGCCTCCCGAGTAGGTGGGACTACAGGCGCGTGCCACCATGCCCGACTCATTTTTTGTATTTTTAGTAGAGACGGGGTTTCACCATGTTGGCCAGGATGGTTTCGAACTCCAGACCTCGTGATCTACCCGCCTCGGCCTCCCAGAGTGCTGGGATTACAGGCGTCAGCCACCGTGCCCGGCCAAGTGTCGCCTTTCTAAAGCAGTCTGGTAACCCCTAGTCTTTTGTAGGCTTTGCTAGGCTCCATTTTACCGATGTAGGGAAGTTGGGAGCTCTGAAATTTAGTTGACTTGCTCGTGAACTTGAATTTCACCTCAGGTGTTCAGACCTCTGGCCCCACTTTGGAAAAAACCCGCCAAGGGCCACCCTTGGGGAACTCGAGGGATTGAGTGGTGAAGGCTCGACCCAAAATTTATGGAGAGAAGGAAATGTTCTGATTAAGGTTGTGCTTTACATATTAACGCCTTGTTGGAAGACTTTGTGCCCTGCAGTGATCTAGCCTGTAATCTTTTGAACTCATTTAGAAAAGTTATATAATTTGTGGATTTGTAATTAATGGAAAACTTGGATTTTTTACGTGTGTGCTAGCATCGTCTCAAGCACATTTTTTCCTGCTTGGAATCGAAACAAGATTTCTTTACAAAAGTACTCACACCCATTTTCTCTGTCTAGTTCTGGGTATATCTCATTTTCTTTGTTAAGGATTTTATTTATTTTTAATTAATTATTTTAATTACACAAATATTGCATGAATACTTTTTTCCCTATGAAACATACATACAATTATTTCCATTTATGTCATTTTAATCTTCTCTTAGCAATGTTTTGTAGTTTTTAATATAAAAGTCTTTTCACATTTTGTTAAATTTGTTCCTGTTCTTGATACTATTGTAAATACTTTTTTTTTTTGAGACGGAGTCTCCCAAAGTGCTGGGATTACAGGCATGAGCCACCGTGCCCGGCCAGCAAATATTTTTTAAAACTTTATATTACCTTGTGTATATATAAGAATACATAAAATTGATTTTTGTATATTGATCTTGTATCCTACAGCCTGGCCAAAGTCACTTAGTTTTCTTTATTTTTTTGTAAATTTTTAAAGATTTTCTACACAGTCATATTATTTTCTTTTTATCCTTTTAATTTTTTATTTTTAATTAAGACGGTGGTTTCCCTATTGTCCAGGCTGGTCTTTGAACTCCGGCTCAAGCAATCCTCTTGCCTTGGCCTCCCATATCTTTTCAATTTTTTGCTTCATGAATTTTGAAGCTATTAGTAAGTTCGTATGCATTTAGGAATGTTAATTCTGCTTGATGAATTGGCCCTTTTATCATTAAGAAATGTCCATCTTGATCTCTAGCAATATTCTTGTCCAGAAGCCTCATTTTTTCTGACAGTGTAGTCACTCCAGTTTCCTTGTGTCTAGTGTTTAACAACTGTATGTTTTAAATTGTGTCTCTTGTAAACAGCAATCTTGCATTTGTATGTAGCCTAATGGTCTGTGCTTTTTTTTTTTTTTTTGAGACGGAGCCTTGCTCTGTCACTCAGGCTGGAGTACAGTGGTACAATCTTGACTCACTGCAACCTCCGCCTCCCGGGTTCAAGCGATTCTCTCGCCTCAGCCTCCTGAGTAGCTGGGACTACAAGTGTGTGCCACCATTTCCTGGCTAATTTTTGTATTTTTGTAGAGACAGGTATTTTTGTAGAGGCGGGGTTTCACCATGTTGCCCAGGCTGGTCCTGAACTCCTGGCCTCAAGCGACCTGCCCATCTTGACCACCCAAAGTGCTGGGATTACAGGCGTGAACCACTGCACCCAGCCTTTATTTTTGAATTTTTTTTTTTTTTTTTTTACAGAGGACAGGAAAGTAAACATTTTAATTTTTTTAATTAAAAATGTATTTTTTAAATTGATTTTTGCAGGGAGGAGAGAGTCTCACTCTGTTGCCCAGGTTTGAGTGCAGTCTGTGATCATAGCTCATCCTCCCTCCTCAGCCTCCCTAGTAGCTAGACTATAGGTGTGCACCACCATGCCTGGCTGTTTTTTATTTTTTGTAGAGGCTGAGTCTTGCTTTGTTGCCCAGGCTAGTCTCAGACTTCTGGCCTCAGCCTCCCAAAGTTCTGGGATTCCAGATGTGAGCCACTGTGCCCGGCCTTTCTGTGCTTTTTAATTAGAATAAATATAATTATCAGTATTGTTGGGGTTAAGTCTACTGTGTTGCTATATATGTTCCATTTGTCTTGTTTTTTCCTTTTCTTTTGAATTATTTAGAAAATACCATGTTCTCTTTTGACTTAGTAGTTCTCTCTTTCTCTCCCTTTCTCCTTCTTACTCTTTAATAGTCACTCAAAGGTAGCTGTTTTCAAAGTGTGGACCCCAGGACCTCCAGAATCCCATCTCTTCCATTAGCCTGCCTGTTAATGAAATTTGCAAAAATGTAAAACAGTGCTGCTGTTCTCAACTAAGCTAGTTTTTAGTTCTTTTGGAAATCATGGCTTTTTAAATTTTTATATATATATATATATATATATATATATATATATATATATATATATATATATATATTTTGAAACAGAGTCTCACTCTGTTGCCCAGGCTGGAGTGCAGTGGCATGATCTTGGCTCACCACAACCTCCGCCTCCCAGGTTCAAGCGATTCTCCTGCTTCAGCCTCTTGAGTAGCTGGGACTATAGGTGCACGCCACCATTCCCGGCTAATTTTTGTATTTTCAGTAGAGATGGGGTTTCACTATGTTGGCCAGGCTGGTTGAACTCATGATCCATCCACCCTGGCCTCCCAAAGTACTAGGATTACAGGCAAGCCATCGCGCCCGGCCAATTATGGCTATTTTAAAAAATGTTATCTATGTTAACATGCTCTGAGTTTTTAATTTTTTCTATGTGAATTAATGTGTATTTTAAAGATTGCTAAGATTTAATTTTTAACGTGGTATATGTTGATAGATATAACCCAATTTTTAAGAGTGTAGAGTGGTACTAGGACCAAAAAGCTTGGGAGCCACATCTCTAGGCTTTAAAATTACATTTTTGTCTGTTCACATTTACTTTTTTTTTTTTTTTTGTCGCCCAGGCTGGAGTGCAGTGGCGCAATGTCAGCTCACTGCAAGCTCCGCCTCCCGGGTTCACGCCATTCTCCTGCCTCAGTCTCCCCAGCAGCTGGGACTACGGGTACACGCCGCCACGCCTGGCTAATTTTTGTATTTTTAGTAGAGACGGGGTTTCACTGTGTTAGCCAGGATGGTCTCAAACTCCCGACCTCAGGTGTTTCGCTGTTGTTGCCCAGGCTGGAGTGCGGTGGCGTGATCTCGATCTCGGCTCACTGCAGCCTCCGCCTCCCAGGTTGAAGCGATTCTCCTGCCTCAGCCTCCTGAATAGCTGGGATTATAGGTGTGCACCACCACACTCTGCTAATTTTTGTATTTTTAGTAGAGACAGGGTTTCACCATGTTGATCAGGCTGGTTTTGAATTCCTGACCTTGTGATCCACCCACCTTGGCCTCCCAAAGTGCTGGGATTACAGGTGTGAACCACGGTACCTGGCCTAATTTTGTATTTTTAGTACAGACAGGGTTTCTCCATGTTGGTCAGGCTGGTCTCGAACTGCCGACCTCAGGTGATCGGCCCGCCTTGGCCTCCCAAAGTGCTAGGATTACAGGCATGACATGAGCCACCGTGCCCAGCCTGTCATTTTTTTTTTTTTTTAGCTTAAAGAACTTTTAATATTTCTCATAGCATATGAGCTGGCGACAAGTTGTCTCTGCTTTTGTTTATCTGAGAATATATTTCATTTTCATATTTGAAAGATGTTTTCATGGATCTGACAGTGTTTCCCCTGTACTGTACTTTGTTTTTTTTTTTTTTTCCTTGGGACGGAGTCTCGCTCTGTTTCCAGGCTGGAGTGCAGTGGCGCGATCTCGGTTCGCTGCAACCTCTGCCTCCTGGGTTCAGGTAATTCTCCTGCCTCAGCCTTCCGAGTAGCTGGGACTACAGGTGTGTGCCACCACGCCTTGCTAATTTATTTATTTATTTATTTATTTATTTATTTATTTATTTATTTATTTTTTTGAGATGGAGTCTCGCTCTGTCGCCTAGGCTGGAGTGCAGTGGCGCGATCTCAGCTCACTGCAAGCTCCGCCTCCCTTGTTCACGCCATTCTCCTGCCCCAGCCTCCTAAGTAGCTGGGACTATAGGCGCCTGCCATCATGCCTGGCTAATTTTTTGTATTTTTAGTAGAGATGGGGTTTCACCATGTTAGCCAGGATGGTCTCAATCTCCTGACCTCGTGATCCGCCTGCCTCAGTCTCCCAAAGTGCTGGGATTACAGGCGTGAGCCACCATGCCCAGCTATTTTTGTATTTTTAGTAGAGACGGGGTTTCACCATGTTGGCCAGGTGGGTCTTAAACTCCTGACCTGGTGATCCGCCTACCTTGGCCTTCCAAAAGTGCTGGGATTACAGGTGTGAGCCACTGCACTCGCCCGACATGCTTTGTTTTGGTGACAATTCAGTGATCATACCTTTTTTTTCTTCTGTGTCCACTCCCCCGTCATAAGCTTTTTCTCATTGTTGGTTTTTAGAAGTTTCCCATATTGTGCTTTTTTTGTTTATTCTGCTTTGGGTCTGTTTTGCTTCCGAAATCAGTGGGTTTATATCTTGCATCTGATTTGAACTTAAAAAAATAAAATGACATAAAATAAAGACAGACTGGGTCTTGCTTTGTTGCCCAGGCCAGTCTTGAGCTCTGGTCTCAAGCAGTCCTCCCACCTCAGCCTCCCACACTTTGTATTTTTAGTAGAGACGGGGTTTCTCCCACACGTTGGGAGGCTGAGGTGGGTGGATCACCTGAGGCCAGGAGTTCAAGACCAGCCTGGAGAATCTCTACTAAATATACAAAAATTAGCCAGATGTGATGGTGAATGCCTGTAGTCCCACCTACTTGGGAGGCTGAGGCACGAGAATGGCTTGAACCTGGGAAGTGGAGGTTGCAGTGAGCCGAGATCATGCTACTGCACTGCAGCCTGGGCAACAGAGCTAGACTCTGTCTCAAAAATAAAAATAAAATTAAAAGTAAAAAAAATGGAGACATCAAATTTATTTTACTATTCTTTGCACCCAGTGAATTAATTAACTATATTTCAATATAGTTAAACCACAGAGCAGTTTTATAGGTTCCAAGTATAAGACGTTGTCCTTATTATTTTTTGTTAAAATATTCTTTCCCAATTCTTTTGGAGTTTCTTTACTTCTTTTTCTTTTTTTTTGAGACCGAGTCTCACTCTGTCGCCCAGCTGGAATGCAGTGGCGTGATCTCACCTCACTGTAACCTCCGATTCCCTGGTTCAAGAGGTTCTCCTGCTTCAGCCTCCTGAGTAGCTGGGATTGGGATTACAGGCGCGTGCCACCACGCCCAGCTGATTTTTGTATTTTTAGTAGAGATGGGGTTTCACCATATTTGCCAGGATGGTCTCAATCTCCTGACCTTGTGATCTGCCCACCTCAGCCTCCCAAAGTGCTGGGATTACAGGTGTGAGCCACCGCGCCCAGCCTCTTTACTTTTTTTGAGACCAAGTCTTGCTCTGTCGCTCAGGCTGGAGTGCAGTGGCGCGATCTCCGCTCACTGCAGCCTCCTGCCTCCCGGGCTCAAGGGACTCTCATGTCTCAGCCTCCTGAGTAGCTGGGATTTACAGGTGTGCGCCAACATGCCCAGCTAATTTTTTTGTATTTTTAGTAGAGATGGAGTTTCACCATGTTGGCCAGACTGGTCTTGAACTCCTGGCCTCAAGTGATCTGCCCGCCTCGGCCTCTAAGCGTGCTGGGATTACAGGCGTGAACCACTGTGCTGGCCTAGAGTTTCAATTATACATTTCTTTTTTTTTTTTGAGACGGAGTCTCCCTCTGTCGCCCAGGCTGGAGTGCAGTGGCGCGATCTCGGCTCACTGCCAGCTCCACATCCCGGATTCATGCCATTCTCCTGCCTCAGCCTCCCGAGTAGCTGGGACTACAGGCACCGGCCACCACGCCCAGCTAATTTTTAAAATGTTTTTAGTAGAGACGGGGTTTCACCGTGTTAGCCAGGATGATCTCCATCTGCCGACCTCGTGATCCGCCCACCTCGGCCTCCTAAAGTGCTGGGATTACAGGCGTGAGCCACCACACCTGGCCTCAATTATACATTTCTAACAGGCTGCTTAAGATTGGTTAAGAAGTGCCTTAATTGGGGCACCATGGTTTTCAACTTTTTTCCCAACCTTTTTCTGTTTCAGTTTGAGTCATTTCTATTGTCCTGACTTCATCTTTAGTGATCTCTTATTTTGTAGTTCTGATCTGCTGATAATCCTATCTGCTGTTTTTTTCTTTTGAGACATAGTTGCCAGGCTGGAGTGCAGTGGCACAATCTCAGCTCACTGCAACCTCCGCCTCCTGGGTTCAAGCGATTCTCCTGCCTCAGCCTCCAAAGTAGCTGGGACTTACAGGCGCAAGCACCGGTACGCCCAGCTATTTTTTTTTTTTTTTTTGAGATGGAGTCTCATTCTGTTGCCCAGGTTGGCGTGCGGTGGAGTGATCTCAGCTCACTGCAACCTCTGCATCCCAGGTTCAAGCTATTGTCCTGCCTCAGCCTCCCAAATAGCTGAGATTACAGGTGCCTGCCACTACACCCGGCCAATTTTTTGTATTTTTAATAGAGACGGGGTTTCACCACGTTGGCCAGGCTGGTCTCGAACTCCTGACCTTGTGATTCGCCTGCCTCAGCCTCCCAAAGTGTTGGGATTATAGGCGTGAGCCACCGCGCCCAACTTCTAATTTTTGTATTTTTAATAGAGACGGGGTTTCACCATGTTGGCTAGGATGGTCTGTATCTCCTGACCTTGTGATCTGCCCGCCTCGGCCTCCAAAAGCTCTGGGATTATAGGCATGAGCCACTATGTCTGGCCTGGTGTATTTTTTCAACTCTAGACGTTTCCTTTTGGTCTTTTTCATATCTTCTGTTTTTCTGTTGATTCCATATTTGTTCTTTTATTGTGTTCATGTTCTGTTTTAAACCCACGAATTATAATAGCCATTTTAAATTCCTGTCTGTTAGTTAGGTTATTTCAGTTATTTTGGGATTTGTTTCTATTGACTTTTTTTTCCTGCTTCTCATGTCTGATATTTTATTGTAAGCTGAACTTTATGGATGCTACTTTGAGTGTCTATATATATTTTGCAATTCAGAGACTTAAAATTTTTTTTTTTGAGACAGGGTCTCATTTTGTCATCCAGGCTGGAGTGGAGGGGCGCAATCACGGCTCATTGCCTCACTGCAGCCTTGACCTCCTGGGCTCAAGCAATTCTCCTGCCTCAGCTCCCCAGGTAGCTGGGACTCAGGCACACCCTACCACATCTGGCTAATTTTTTCGTATTTTTTGTGGAGACGGGGTTTTGCCATGTTTCCACATCTGGTCTTGAACTCCTCAGCTCACATGATCTACCTGCCTTGGCCTTTGATGCTGGGATTACAGGTGTGAGCCACTGTGCCCAACCAGGAGACTTTTCATATATGTGTGCATATGTATGTAACCATTACCACAGTCAATTTATTCTTCTTATTATTTTTGAGACAGGGTCTCACTCTGTCACCCAGGCTGGAATGTAGTGGCGCGATCTGGGCTCACTACAACCTCTGGCTCCCGGGTACAAGCGTTTCTCCTGCCTCAGCCTCCCGAGTGGCTGGGATTACAGGCACGAGCCACCACACCTGGCTAATTTTGGTATTTTTATAGCAGGGACAGGGTTTCAACATGTTGGCCAGGTTGGTCTCGAGCTCCTAACCTCAAATGATCAGTCTGCCTCTGCCTCCCAAAGTGTTGGAATTATAGGCGTGAGCCACCATGCCCGGCACACAGTTTATTTTATTATTTATTTTAATTAATTTATTTATTTTATCTTACTTATTTTTTATTTTTTGAGATATAGTCTCACTCTGTTGCCCAGGTTGGAGTGCAGTGGTGTGATCTCAGCTCACTGCAACCTCCACCTCCCTCGTTCAAGTGATTCTGCTGCCTCAGCCTCCTGAGTAGCTGGGATTACAGGCACCCGCCACCATGCCTTCCTAATTTTTTTTTTTTTTTTTAATGATGGAGTCTTGCACTGTCACCCGGGCTGGTGTACAGTGGCACAATCTTGGCTCGCTGCAACCTCCGCCTCCCGGGTTCAAGTGATTCTCCTGCCTCTGCCTCCCGAGTAGCTAGGATTACAGGCGCCTGCCACCACTCTCGGCTAATTTTTTGTATTTTTATTAGAGACGGGGTTTCACTATGTTGGCCAGGCTGGTCTTGAACTGCTGACCTCATGATCCACCCACCTCAGCCTCCCAAAGTGCTGGGATTACAGGCGTGAGCCACCGTGCCTGGCCAGTTTTTGTATTTTTGGTGAAGATGGGGTTTCACCGTGTTGGCCAGGCTGGTCTCGAACTCCTGACCTCATGATCCACCCACCTCATCTTCCCAAAGTAGTGTGATTACAGGAGTGAGCCTCTGCACCTGGCCCGACAGTTAATTTTAGAGCAAATTTTTTTTTTTTTTTTTTTGAGGTAGAGTCTGTCACCCATGCTGGAGTGCAGTGATGCTATCTTGGCTCACTGCACTCTCTGCCTTCTGGGTTCAAGGGATTCTCCTGCCTCAAGGCTCCTGAGTAGGTGGGACTATAGATAGGCATGTGCCACCATGCCTGGCTAATTTTTTATTTTTAGAACAGGGTTTTGCTATGTTGGCCAGGCTGGTCTCAAACTCATGACCTCAAGTGATCCACCCGCCTTGGCCTCCCAAAATGCACGAATTAACAGCTACCACGCTTGGCCAGCGTTTCTATTTTGTAGAGGAGAAAGGCATTTTTTGCCTTATGATAGGGTTATATACCAATAAAACCCTTGTAAATTTAAAATATTCTAAGTTCAAAATGCATTTAAGACACCTAAACTATCAAATATAGGTTAGTCTGGCCTACCTTAAATGTGCTCAGAACTCTTATATTAGCCTACAGTCGAGGAAAATCATCTAACACAAAGCCCATTTCATTATAGTGTTGAATATCTCGTGGAATTTATTGATACTGACAGTGAAAAACAGTGGTCATATGTGTACTCACTGTAAACATACACAGTTGAAAGCACTCTGGGCCTGAAGAATGTTTGAAGCATTGAACTAAAAGTTAATTGCTGGATTATGGAGAAGCTACATCAACAGGGTCACCAGTTGCTCTTCTAAGCATTGGAGCCCATTGACACTTGTTGATGGTTTAGCAGGCATAGTGTTCAAGAAGATATCAAGTATTGGTTGTTTACCCTTGTGATCGTGTGGCTGACTGGGAGCTGCAGCTCACTCTGCTGACCAGCATTGAAAGAGTATCATATTATGTCACTAGCCTGGGAAGAGATCAAAACTCAAAATTTGAAGTATGGTTTCTACTTTATACCGTTGTAATTCCAAAAATCATGAGTCAGGGACTATCTGTACATGCCTTTATAGCCTCACCTTACTGTCAGTTTCTTACACTTTCATAGGACCTTGACTGTATCACTGTTTGAGGTTGTGAACAGTTTTGAGAATAGACACATGATAATCAATGAATACATATTTTTTGAGTGAATGACCATGTAATCTCTGCTTGGAGTGTCCCAAATGTTGCATTGAAATTGTCAGATTTCTTGTTTGTATTCTTCACTAAACTTTAGCTTTAAAGGGACTAGAACCATGTCTTACCCACCTCTGTATTTTCAGTGGCTAGCACAGAACAGGTGATAAGTAAAGGGTTAAGAGAACTTAATATTGGGGCCGGGTGTGGTGGCTCATGCCTGTAATCCAGCACTTGGGGAAGCTGAAGTGGGAGGATCTCTTGATACCATGAGTTTCGAGACTGGCTTGGACAACAAAGTGGGACTCTATAATAAACCTACAAAAAATTAGCTGGGCATGGTGGCATGGGCTTGTAGTCCCAGTTACTCAGGAGGCTGAGTGGAAGGATCACCTGACTGGGGAAGTCAAAGTTGCATTCGGCTGTGATTGTGCCACTGCACTCCAGCCTAGGCGATAGTGAGACCCTGTTTCAAAAAAAAGAAAAAAAGAACTTAATGTTTTTCAAGATACAGTATGTTCTCTCTGACTACGGGTTCAGTATATGTGAATTCAGCCAACTTTGGATGGAAAATATTTGGGGAAAAATACCTGCATCTGTATTGAACATGTACAGACTTTTTTCTTGTCATTATGTAAACAATACAGTATAAAGGATTTATACTGTATTAGTGTTTATAAGTAATTTAGAAATGATTTGTAGTATATGAGAATGTCTGCATAGGTTATATGCAAACCTTACACCATTTTATATAAGGAGACTTGAGCATCTGTGGATACTGGTCAGAGAGTTCTGGAACCAATCTCCTACAGATTTTGAGGGACAGCTGTACAACAGAAAGGACAACAGATTAAATTTTCCATTCAGTTAACAGTAGGAATGAGGTGGTTTCGTTACATATAAATCATTACTAGAGTATGAAGGATGTATCTTCAGATACTCTCATCAAGTGGAATAGGTATGGCATGACCAGTTTTATGTTGAATTGTTGCAGATGTATTCTAACAAAGTTTGTTTGGGGTTTTGTTTGCTAGGAAGAGGCATCTCCCTACACTTTGGTCAACATCTGCCTGAATGTCCTGATTGCTAACCTGGAGAAATTGTGTTCTGAAAGACCTGATGGAACACTGTGCCTTCCGGAGCATTGGAGTTTCCCTCAGGAAGTAGCCGAGCGATTTCTCAGGGTGATGACTTGGCAAGGTAGTGATAAGGCTTCTCTAAAGTCAGCTCTTGCAGTACTTTACTATTTGAAAAGCACTTTTACACACAATTTCTATTGTGATTCTCACAAAGTATTTCCATTTCATTTGTCTGGAAGTTGAGACTCACTCTTTCTGGGATTCCATGATGGAAATTGTCTTCTAGGCTAGCCCTGCTATTGACTTGGTTTTCCACTCTTCACTTACGTAAAGTTATCACTCATCCATCTGCTCTCTAGCTTTGTTTTTTTTTTTGAGACGGATTTTCACCCTTGTCGCCAAGGCTGGAGTGTAGTGGCACAATCTTTGCTCACTGCAGCCTCCGCCTGGGTTTAAGCGATTCTCCTGCCTCAGCCTCCTGAGTAGCTGGGATTACAGGCGCCCACCACACCTGGCTGATTTTTGTATTTTTAGTAGAGATGGGGTTTCACCACTTTGGTCAGGCTGGTCTTGAACTCCTGAGTTCAGATGATCCGTCTGCCTTGGCTTCCCAAAGTGCTGGGATTACAGACATGAGCCACTGTGCCCGGCCTGCTCTCTAGCTTTTTCAAAATGCTCTTGCTGTAGTCTTGTTTACCATTCTTTTCATTATGGTTATGAGTCTTACCTCCCATTGTAGCTGGGCTTAAAGAACTCCACTAAAAAAATAAAGGAAAAAAAGGGCATTTTATTATTTATTTATTTATAACCTGGGATTACAGATGTGAGTCACCATGTCCGGTCATAATTTTTGTATTTTTAGTAGAGATGGGGTTTCACCATGTTGGCCAGGCTGGTCTCAAACTCTTGACCTCAAGTGGTCTGCCTGCCTCGGCCTCCCAAAGTGCTGGGATTACAGGCGTGAGGCACCGTGCCTGGCCCATAATCAATTTTAGAACCTCAAACTTTCCATCACCTCAGAAAGAAACCTTGTGCCCGTTAGATTTTATTTCCCTTTTCCCGCATCCCTCCAGCCCTAAGCAACCACAAGTCTACTTTCCATCTCTATGTATGGATTTGCCTATTCTGAACATTTAATATAAATTAAATCATCCAATATGTGGCCTTGTGTGCCGAACTTTTTTCATTTAGCATGTTTAAGGCTCACATTGTGCAACATGTATATCTGTACTCGTTCCTTTTTATAGTCGCATATTCTACTGTATGGACATACCACATTGTATTTATCTGTTTTTCGGTTGATGGACATTTGTGGTGTTCTCACTTTTGGGCTATTATGAATAATATGCTACCATAAAGATATGTGTACAAATTTTATTTTTAAACTTAAAAAATTTATTCTAAACTTTCTCTGCTCCATATGAATCTGCAGGAATGTGTAAGAGTTTCTATGTGGACATAAGTTTTCATTTCTCTGAGTGAAATTGCTGGATCAAATGGTAACTCATTATCTTTTTGAGGAACTGCCAGACTATTGTTTGTGGCTGTACTATTTTACATTCCCATCAGCAGTGTCCAAGGGTTCTAATTTCTCCACGTTCTCACCAAGACTCATCTGACATTTTGATTATAGCCATCCTAGTGGATGTGAAATAGTATCTGTTGTGCTTTTAATTTGCATTTCTTTAATGACTTATGGTGTTGGTATTTACCTGGTATGCCTCCCTATACTGAATTCCTTGTGGTCACAGGTGTCTGATTACCTTACGTGCCTGTTACATAACATGGAATCTCACCATAGAAGATGTGTAGTAGGCCAGGTGCAGTGCCTGTAGTCCCAGCTACTTGGGAGGCTGAGGCAAGGGAATCGCTTGAACTTGGGAAGCGGAGGTTGCAGTGAGCCCCCACTGCACTCCAGCCTGGGTGACAGAGCAAGACTCCATCTCAAAAAAAAAAAAAAAAAAAAAAATATGTGTAGTAAATGAAAAATAGGACAACCCATTCGTTTTACAGATGAGGAAAATGAGGCCCAGAGAGGTAAGTGACTTGTCAAATATTATCTACTAATTTGGTTAAAAATAATATTAGTAGTGCTACTTGTATATTGTATATCCTGTACTTATCTACCTATTTTATTTTGTTCTTCCTTTCTGTGAGCAAGGTTACTGTAGATAAAATTTTGGGCTCTACAGCCAAACTGGGGTTGACTCCTGATTCTGATGGTGACCTTGGATAAATTACTTAACCTATTCAAGTTTCAGTTTCCTCAGCTACATAGTAGTAGTAACAATAATTCCTTTATAGTATTAATGCAAAGAATACATGAGATAATAATCTTATTAAAGGAGTTTAGAACAATGCTAGCACAGAGCAGTAAATGTTGTCATTATTGTTATTATTAACATCTGTCTTAATTCTTTGCCACATTTTATCCTGGAAAGACATGAGATCTAGTTGTCATTACAAGTTGGTTCTGGTTCTTTCATAGGCAAGCTGACTGACAGAACAGCCAGCATTTTCCGAGGCAACCAAATGAAACTGAAGCTGGTCAATATCCAAAAAGCTAAAATCTCTACAGCTGCATTCATAAAAGCCTTCTGCCGTCATAAGCTCATTGAACTGAATGCTACTGCAGTGCACGCTGACCTCCCAGTTCCAGACATCATAAGTGGACTCTGCAGCAATAGGTGGATCCAGCAAAACCTCCAGTGTCTCCTGTTAGACTCGACAAGCATCCCTCAAAATTCAAGATTACTGTTCTTTAGTCAGCTCACTGGTCTTCGCATTTTAAGTGTTTTTAATGTTTGTTTTCATACTGAAGACCTGGCTAATGTTTCTCAGTTACCAAGACTGGAAAGCTTAGATATCTCTAATACTCTAGTCACTGATATTTCTGCACTGCTTACCTGTAAGGATCGATTGAAGTCTCTCACAATGCACTATCTGAAATGCCTGGCCATGACCAAATCACAAATTCTTGCAGTCATTAGAGAACTTAAATGTCTGCTTCACCTTGATATTTCTGATCACAGGCAACTCAAATCAGACCTAGCTTTTCATTTGCTACAGCAGAAGGATATCCTGCCCAATGTTGTGTCATTGGATATTTCTGGGGGCAATTGCATCACTGATGAAGCTGTAGAACTGTTTATACGACTGCGGCCTGCCATGCAATTTGTGGGACTATTGGCCACGGATGCTGGCTCTTCTGACTTCTTTACTACAAAGCAAGGCTTGAGGGTTTGTTCTTATCTGAATAAGTTTTGTTTCATTTGTTTAGAACATTATTAAACTCGTGCTATAGACCAGACTTTTTACTAGGTATTAGGGTTACAGAGACAGATAAAAAAATCCTTAAAGAGCTTTTTTAATAATTAATGATTATTATGTACCTACTATGTGGAAGGTTGTGAGAATATTATTATTATTTTTTGAGATGGAGTAGTTTTGTATTTTTAATAGAGATTGGGTTTCTTCATGTTGGTCAGGCTGGTCTCGAACGCCTGACCTCAGGTGATCTGCTTGCCTCGGCTTCCCAAAGTGCTGGGATCATAGGCATGAGCCACTGTGCCTGGCCACACGTGAGAATATAATATTAAGATACAGGCTGGGCATGGTGGCTCACACCTGTAATCCCAGCACTTTGGGAGGCCAAGGCGGGCAGATCACTTGAGGTCAGGAGTCCGAGACCAGCCTGGCCAACATGGTGAAACCTGGTCTCTACTAAAAATACAAAAATTAGCCGGTGTGTTGGCGGGCGCCTGTAGTCCCAGCTACTTGGGAGGCTGAGGCAGGAGAATCACTTGAACCTGGGAGGTGGAGGTTGCACCACTGCACTCCAGCCTGGCCAAAAGCGAAACGCAGTCTCAAAAAAAAAAGAAGATATAGTGGGTTCAAGTGATTCTCCTGCCTCGGCTTCCCGAGTAGCTGGGACTACAGGCACGTGCCACCATGCCCAGCTAGTTTTTTATTTTTAGTAGAGACGGGGTTTCACCATGTTGGCCGGGCTGGTCTCGAACTCCTAACCTCAGGTGATCCGCCTGCCTCGGCCTCCCAAAGTGCTGGGATTATAGGCATGAACCACTGCGCCCGGCCCGATTATTATTATTATTTTTTTTTGGAGACTGAGTTGTGCTCTTGTTGCCCAGGGTGGAGTGCAATGGCGCAATCTCGGCTCACTGCAACCTTCGCCTCCCGGGTTCAAGCGATTCTCCTGCCTCAGCTTCCCGAATAGCTGGGATTACAGGTGTGCACCACCACACCTGGCTAATTTTTTGTATTTTTAGTAGAGGCAGAGTTTCACTATGTTGGTCAGGCTGGTCTCGAACTCCCAGACCTCAGGTGATCCACCTGCCTTGGGCTCCCAAAGTGCTGGGATTACAGGCATGAGCCACCATGCTTGGCCCAGAGCTGTTGTTTTAAAGTAACTCTTTCTTTATAATAATACCTCCTTAGTTCTTCCTAGGGGAAGAGAATAAAGTGATTTGTATACTCATTAGTTGTGTTAACATTTTATTCTTTTGATTTGAAGTTAGCAATTGTTGTATTTTAATTAATTAATTAATTAATTTTTTATTGAGACAGAGTCACTCTGTTGTTCAGGATGGAGTGCAGTGGCACAATCTTGGCTCACTGCAACCTCTGCTGTGAGCTGAGATCCCCAAATTTTTTTTGGGACAGTCGAGTCCTGCTCTGTCGCCCAGGCTGGAGTGCAGTGGTCCGATCTTGGCTCACCACCAAGGATTATCTCTTCCCCCCTTGGATAAACTTGGCATCTTTGTTGAAAATCGGGTGTCCGTATATGTGTGAGTCTGTTACTGGGCTCTTTATTTTTTATTTTTTTTGAGACGGAGTCTTGCTCTGTCGCCCAGGCTGGAGTGCAGTGACACGATCTCTGCTCACTGCAATCTCCGCCTCCCGGGTTCACGCCATTCTCCTGCCTCAGGCTCCAGAGTAGCTGGGACTATAGGCACCCACCACCACGCCTGGCTAATTTTTTGTATTTTTAGTAGAGATGGTGTTTCACCGTGTTAGCCAGGATAGTCTCGATCTCCTGACCTCGTGATCTGCCTGCCTCATCCTTCCAAAGTGCTAGGATTACAGGTGTGAGCCACCACGCCCAGCTGGGCTCTTTATTTTTATCTGTTTGTGTATTGCCTTTTTTTTTTTTTTTTTTTTTTTTTTTTGAGACAGAGTCTCGGTCTGTCACCCAGGCTGGAGTGCAGTGGTGTGATCTCGGCTCACTGCAACCTCTGCCTCCCGGGTTCAAGTGATTCTCCTGGCTCAGCCTCCCTAGTAGCTGGGACTATAGGCGTGCACCACCACGCCCATCTAATTTTTGTACTTTTAGTAGAGATGAGGATTTACCATGTTGGCCAGGCTGGTCTTGAACTCCTGACCTCAGGTGATCTGCCCACTTTGGCCTCCCAAAGTATTGGGATTACAGGCCTGAGCCATTGTGCCCCGGCCTACTGTCTTGATTACTATAACTTTATATGAAGTCTTGAAATTGGGTAATGTGACTTCTTCAACTGTTATTCTGTTTCATAATTGTTTTGGTTATTCTAGGTTCTTTGTATTTCCATATAAATCATAAAAGCAACTTGTCAATATCTACAAAAAGGACTACTGGTATTTTAGTTGGGATTGCATTAAATCTGTAGGTCAGTTTGAGGAAAATTGCCGTTTAATAACGTTGAGTCTCATGTTGTTTTAAAAAATAGAGGCGAGGTCTCACTATGTTGTCCAGGCTGGTCTCGTAGTCCTGGGCTCAAGCAACCCTTGAGCCTCAGACTCCCAAAGTGTTGGGATTACAGGCATTAGCCACCACGCCTGGCGCTAGTCTCCTGATTCTTGAATCCTGTATATCTCTGCATTTATTTAGATCTTTACTTTCTCTCAGCATATTTTGTCATGTAGCTGGGACTACAGGCGCCTGCCACCACGCCTGGCTAATTTTTGTAATTTTAGTAGAGATGGGGTTTCACCATATTGTTCAGGCTGGTCTCTACTCCTGACCTCGGGTGATTCACCTGCCTCAGCCTCACAAAGTGCTGGGATTACAGGCGTGAGCCACTGCGCCTGGCCAACACCTGGAACATTTAATTGAACATTTGTTGTTATTGTCTTAAACACTGGATGCCCCAAAAACCCTGTGGTTAAAAATGAATGGTGAAAAAATATGAATGGTGAAACCTGTTTGGTAACATCTTTATTTTCAGGTTGCTGGAGGAGCCAGTATGAGTCAGATTTCAGAAGCACTGAGCCGATACAGGAACAGATCATGTTTTGTGAAGGAAGCCCTCCACAGGCTGTTCACAGAGACATTTTCAATGGAGGTAACCATGCCTGCTATTTTAAAGGTAATTGAAGGAAGACAATTTTTACTATTACTTCTTAACTTGGTTCAATTAATAATTGTTCACGAACCACACTGAATATAATAAATTATATGCTTTATTCTATAGTGAGTCAAGTGCTCTCATAGAGCAAAGAATGTTAAGCTTAGCTGCCAAAGTGTCTTTTGCTTTGAGCATCTGGATTTATGTGGAATAAATTAGAATCAAAACAGTTAAAATTTGGTCTAAGTAAGGGAATAATAGGATCATGTGGCTTTCTGAAAGAAAACAAGTGCAGAACAAAATAAAAATAATTAAGGGTGGCCAAATCTACCACTTGAAGTATTTTGTGAATGACATAAAGTTG
The DNA here is from genome assembly GCF_000001405.40 of Homo sapiens. NCBI lineage: Eukaryota > Metazoa > Chordata > Mammalia > Primates > Hominidae > Homo > Homo sapiens. The sequence continues at coordinate 52,861,215 of NC_000001.11, forward strand.
CTTTTATCGATATAGCCAAACTTAGCTTTGGTTTAGGGAAGGATGCGTTTTATTGTAAATGTAATTACAAGTATTAAGAGGCTTGGGAAAGAAAACTTCAGTTATTTATTTTTCTTTTATACATGTGTTTATTTGAAAATTGTTGTTTTTAGTGAAACATAACAATGAAAGGTCTTAAGAAAAACCTTGTCTTTATTTGTAATTTTTTGCAATTCCTTAAAAATGTGGATATTTTCCCAGCACTTTGGGAGGCCGAAGCGGGTGGATCACGAGGTCAAGAGATTGAGACCATCCTGGCCAACATGGTGAAACCCCGTCTCCACTAAAAACAATACAAAAATTTGGTGGGCGTGGTGGCGCACTCCTATAGTCCCAGCTACTTGGGAGACTGAGGCAGGAGAATCGCTGGAACTCGGGAGGTGGAGGTTGCAGTGAGCCGAGATTGTGCCATTGCACTCCCTCCTGGTGACAGAGCGAGACTCAAAAAAAAATATTTTTACAGCATGGGAGATTAACTTTATTTACAGCTCAAAAGCTGTATAAAGAAAAACTCTGGGTCAGCTGTGGTGGCTCATGCCTGTAATCCCACCACTTTGGTTGGGAGGCCGAGATGGGAGGATTTCCTGGGGCCAGGAGTTCAAGACTAGCCTGATCAACATTAGTAAGACCCTGTCTCTACAAAAATTTAGAAAAAGAAAAAAAATTAGCTTCTGGCTGGGCACCATGGCTCACGCCTGTAATCCCAGCACTTTTTGGGAGGCTGAGGTGGACAGATCACCTGAGGTCAGGAATTTGAACAGCCTGGCCAACATGGTAGAACCCCGTCTCTACTAAAAATACAAAAATTAGCCAGGCGTGGTGGCAGGTGCCTGTAATCCCAGCTACTCAGGAGGCTGAGGCAGGAGAATCACTTGAACCTGGGAGGTGGAGGTTGCAGTGAGCCGAGATGATACCACTGCACTCCAGCCTGGGCGACAGAGCAAGACTCTGTCTCAAAAAACAAAAAAAAAGTTAGGTGGGCATGGTTGTACATGCCTATAGTCCCAGCTACTTGGGTGACTGAGATTGGAGGACTACGTGAGCCCAGGATTTTTTTTTGGTTTTTTTTTTTTTTTGAGACGGCGTCTCGCTCTGTCGCCTAGGCTGGAGTGCGGTGGCTTGATCTCCGCTCACTGCAGGCTCCACCTCCCGGGTTCACACCATTCTCCTGCCTCAGCCTCCCAAGTAGCTGGGACTACAGGCGCCCGTCACCACGCCCAGCTACTTTTTTGTATTTTTTAGTAGAGATGGGGTTTCACCGTGTTAGCCAGGATGGTCTCGATTTCCTGACCTCGTGATCCGCCCGCATTGGCCTCCCAAAGTGCTGGGATTACAGGCGTGAGCCACTGCGCCCGGCAAGCCCAGGAGTTTGAGGCTGCTACAGTAAGCTATGATGGTGCCACTATACTCCAGCCTGGGTAACAGAGCGAGATCCCAACTCAAAAAAATAAAATAAATTAAAAATTCTCGACCTTTTTTTCCATCTGTAAGGAAGAGATTGAATTAGATGTTCTTCTGTTTTTGTTTGTTTTTGTTGTTCTTTGAGACAGGGTCTCACTCTGTTGCCCAGGCTGGAGTGCAGTGGCATGATATGATCTCAGCCAACTGCAGCCTTGACCTCCTGGGCTCAAGTGATCCTCCTGCCTCAGCCTCCTGAGTAGCTGGAACTATAGGCATGCCCCACCATGCCTGGCTGTTTTTTTTGTTTTTTCTGTAAAGATGAGGTCTTACTGTGTTGCCTAGGCTGAATTTAGATGTTCTAAATTTCTTTTCATACCAGGATTGTGTAGTTTTTGTGAAAATCACATTTCTTTTGGTTTCTGGATTTCTAAATTGCAGATGATGGCAATCTAATGAAACTGAAAAATCAATTTAGCAATATACAAAAAAAAAGTCATTTTCCATAGCAGAAGTATATCCCAGGTCTGTCTCTAGTAGAGGAAACAGATCACAGTGTCCTTGAATGACAGAGCAGGTGGGGTCTAAGCTTGGAACAATGCCCTCATTTTACATTTGTGTTCTAGGTCTTCCACAGTGTAGCTTCAAGTTACCTAATGTTTTGTTTTACCATTTTTCAAATTCTTCTCCTCTGTTGGTGGATTTATCCCATCCTTTTTTTCCACTTTCTGTTTTTCTTTATCACTTTCTTTCCCCTAGGAATACCCTGTCCATTCTGCCCCTACATTTATCTCCTCCTGTGTAAATCCTGAGACTCTGCCTAAATGTGCTCTCTCAATGAGTTCTTCTGATTCTCTCCCAGAAATGGCCACTCTTTCCATAACTACCTCAGATGTCACTTCATTGATGCGTCTTTTATGGTGCTTTTCTTCAATTTTATTTTTTGGCATTTCTCACAGTGTTATTACTGTCACAAGGCTTTATGCTAACGAGTAGCTCTCACTCATGTTTGTGTCCCCTGCAGTACCTGTCACAGTAGCTTGTATGGAGTGAGGCTCAATAAATGATTCTGAAGTTAATTTCACAGATAAAGAAATAGAGGTCTAGAGAAAGGAAGTGACTTGGCCAAAGTCACACAGATAGTTAGTGACTCCATTTGGATTAGAAGGCTTTGCTGTAATACTTTGATGTTCTAAAGAATAAATGCTTAGGATAGGGAAAATCTGTTCCTGTCCCAATAAACGAAGATTTGTGCCAATCAAAACATGCACAAGACAGCATAGAGAATGTTACTGGCATCATATGCACTAAAAACAAGTTCATCTTCAGCTTGTGGCTATAGGAATGAGGAATCACCCATTGGATTTGCGAGTGCAGTTCACAGCCAGTGCTTGCGCTCTCAACCTAACACGCCAGGGCCTGGCCAAGGGGATGCCTGTTCGCCTGTTGTCAGAGGTCACCTGTCTACTTTTCAAGGCTCTGAAAAATTTCCCCCATTACCAGCAGGTAATTTCAATTGAATATTTGTTTGTGCTTTTTTTGTTGTTGTTAATAGTCTCAGCTCTGTTGCCCAGGCCAGAGTGCCGTGGCACAATTTGTTTTTGTTTTTTTAAAGACAGAGTCTCTCTCTGTCGCCCAGGCTGGAGTGCGGTGGCACGATCTCAGCTCACTGTAACCTCTGCCTCCCGGGTTCAAGCAATTCTCCTGCTTCAGCCTCCTGAGTAGCTGGGATTACAGGCGTGCACCACGACGCCCAGCTAATTTTTGTATTTTTAGTAGAGACGGGGTTTCACCATGTTGGTCAGGCTGGTCTCGAACTCCTGGCCTCATGAGCCATGGCATACGGCAGACAATTTGTGTTTTCTAACTTTAGGATAAATATGTGAAAAATAGATATTATTTAGTTCTGGTTTTTCATCCTATTAGAGAAAGAGAATAGATAAAAGAGTGTGTTTGTTATAGAAAAAATAGGAAATATAGATAAGCAGTGAGGCTAAAATTTTCTTTTTTTTGAGAGATTTTCCTTCTTGTTGCCCAGGGTGGAGTGCAGTGGTATGATCTCGGCTCACCGCAACCTCCGCCTCCTGGGTTCGTGCCATTCTCCTACCTCAGCCTCCCGAGTATCTTAGACTACAGGCGCTCGCCACCATGCCTGGCTAATTTTTTTTTTTTTTGTATTTTTAGTAGAGATGGGTTTCACCGTGTTAGCCAGGATGGTCTCGATCTCCTGACCTCATGATCTGCCCACCTTGGTGTCCCAAAATTCTGGGATTACAGACGTGAGCCCCCGCGCCTGGCCTACACTCATTTTTATTTTTATTATTTTTTTTGAGACGGAGTCATTCTGTTGCCGAGGCTAGAGTGCAGTAGCACGATCTTGGCTCACTGCAACCTCTGCCTCCTGCCTCAGCCTCCTGAGTAGCTGGGATTACAGGCGCATGCCACCATGCCTGGTTGATTTTGTATTTTTAGTATAGATGTGGTTTCACCATGTTGGCCAGGGTGGTCTCGAACTCCTGAACTCAGGTGATCCACTGCCTTGGCCTCCCAAAGTGCTGGGATTACAGGAGGGAGCCACCATGCCTGGCTCCCTCCCCCACAACACACATTTTTAAAATGAAAAGGTAGATGATAGACTGGGAAACATGTTCATTATATATATATGAGAATCAACTTCATTCAGAGTATATAAAGAACTCAACTTGTTAATACAGTACAAATCAGTTATAAAAATGATCAAAAGATTTGAACACTTTGGTAGTTTCTTTAGGAATTAAATATACACTTCATAAACTACCTAGTCATTCCACTCCTAGGTATTTACTGAAGATAAATGAAAGCATGTATCCATATAAAGATATTTACACAAATATTCATGGTACCTTTATTTATTGCCAAAAACTTGAAACATCCCAAATGTCCAACAACAGGCGAATAGAAGCATTGTAATAAATCTATTTAGGGAAACACTACTTGGCACACAGAGATGAAGTACTGATATCTGCAGTGTAGATGAAACTCAAAAATGTTATATGTTGAGCAAAACAGGCCAAACTCAAAAGAGCAGAAGTACATGATTCCATTTGCATAACACCTTAAAAAAACTAATCTATAATGACTGTAATTTTCCGAGGATAGGGTTTACAGGGTTGAGACTAACTTGAAGAGGGGACAATGGAACTCTCTGGGGGTGATAGAAGTATTATATCTTGATTGTAGGAGTGGTTACACAGGGGTATAAATTTGTGAAATCTAATACAAATGTGTACTTTGTAAAGGGAGTTTTTTTTTTTTTTTTTTTTTTGAGATGGAGTCTCGCTCTGTCGCCCAGGCTGGAGTGCAGTGGCACAATCTTGGCTCACTGCAAGCTCCGCCTCCCGGGTTCATGCCATTCTCCTGCCTCAGCCTCCCGAGTAGCTGGGACTACAGGCACCCACCACCACGCCCGGCTAATTTTTTGTATTTTTAGTAGAGACGGGGTTTCACTGTGCTAGCCAGGTTGGTCTCGATCTCCTGACCTCGTGATCCGCCTGCCTCTGCCTCCCAAAGTGCTGGGATTACAGGCATGAGCCACCGCACCCGGCCAAGGGAGTTGATTTTTTAAAAATACAGTTAGGAAGGTGGTTTTCCTCATTTATTTCTACCTTATTTTTAAAGTTGGAAAATCCTACTCAAGTCTTCATTCCTGCATGGCAGTCATCAGTTACAGCATTAAATGAAAATTTAATGCTGGTACACAAATGAGCTCTCAATAAGAAAAGCTCACTAGTAATACTTCCAAATACATGGAATCTTTGTTTAGAATGGAATGTTACATTTGTTCAAAATTATTTTTCTTTATTCTCTAAAAGTTACAGAAGAATTGTCTTCTCTCCTTAACCAATTCCAGGATTCTTGTGGATGTTCCATTTGACAGGCAAGTATAAGACTTGGTCATTTGACTGGGGTGTTGGCCTTTGGTTATTAAATGCAGAGGCCTGATTAAGGCTGGGATAAGGTGTTTGGAGAGAAGGTTCTGTTGAGCATCTTCCACAGAGAAGTGATTAGAAGTACCCTACTAGAAAATGTTGTCTCCTAAAGTGATTCTAGTATAGGATAGTGGGTAAGAACAGGCTCCGAGAGCCAAACATACTTGGACTCAAGATCTAGCCCTTCCATTATCTTTGCTTATTATAAGTTTCCTCATTTGTAAAATAGTGACTCTTACCAGCATTAGATAAGATAGTGTCTGTAAAGTACTTAATTCCTAGTTTAAGTACAGGCTATTATAAAGAATATTAGTAATTTATTCATTTTGTTATGTAATTATTATTTTATTAGTAATTTACTTTTTAATTATTTAGAAAATCATCATCATCCTAGCCATTCCAGAAGGATTTGAGGCCTTTGCAGTCTCTCAGATTCACAAGTTTTAAAACATTTATAATAGTTGACATAAAAGAGCAGAGAAATGAGGCACAAGCTAACAAGAGCAAAGCCCCTGATTTGTGAATACAAGGTTTAGGCTCAGTCACTTTGTAACTGAGTGATGTTTGCTGCAGCATTTTAGCATTGTCTACTACTCAGATTACAAATTGCTACCACTCTGGAAACTCCCTTTCTTTTTCAGACCTATCATAGTAGAAACTGAATGATAAATACATTTTTTCTTAGATTTGCTCATCTTTATGTAAATTCTGTGTATTTTGCTTACGTTCTTATTTGCATACTCTCCTATCCCCTGCCTGGTCTTCTCTCTGCCAAATGCTCTTGGTTTTCATAGCTGAGGATTTAAAAGTCCAAGACTGTTTTCATTATAGGATTACTTGGGGAATGCCAAATGATTTCTTCTGTGTAGTTTCACAAACTTTATATATAATTGTGAGAAAAATAAATACTGCTTTTCAGGTTTGATGCTGCCAAGTTTGTCATGAGATGGCTCTGTAAGCATGAAAACCCCAAGATGCAAACAATGGCAGTGAGTGTCACCTCTATTCTGGCTCTGCAGGTTTGTGATTTCTTAAAGGCAAGATGTCTATCTCTCTAGTTTTTATACAGGTTCCATAGTTCACTTGAGCCTTTCTGTTTGCTTATAGCTCTCACCTGAGCAAACGGCACAGCTTGAAGAGCTTTTCATGGCAGTTAAGGTAGGTTCCTTGTCATGTTCATAACCTTTTTTTAAAAAAAGTCAAATTTATGATTATAGCTTAAAAAAAAAATCAAATCATTCCAAAAGGCCTATTAAGGTGAGAAATCTGTAAGACTTTCTCCCCAGAAGAAACTTTCTAATTTTGTAGCTATTTCTTTTGGTATGTACCTCCACATTTCTTTTTTTTTTTTTTTTTTTTTTTTTTGAGACAGAGTCTCACTCTGTCGCCCAGGCTGGAGTGCAGTGGCGCGATCTCGGCTCACTGCAACCTCCGCCTCCTGGGTTCACGCGATCCCCTGCCTCAGCCTTCTGAGTAGCTGGGATTATAGGCGGGTGTCACCACACCTGGCTAATTTTTGTATTTTTAGTAGAGACGGGGTTTCACCATGTTGGCCAGGCTGGTCTCGAACTCCTGACCTCGTGATCTGCGTGCCTCGGCATCCCAAAGTGCAGGGATTACAGGCGTGAGCCACCATGCCTGGCCATACCTCCACATTTCTAAATAAAATGCATATACTGTAGTTTCTTGATTGAGCAGTTTTAGGTGTTACTGATTTTGCTGCTACAGTAGATAAGAACTTAGCTCTCCTACGTATCTTTCTACAAATTACTTCCTCCTCTGGTCCCCAACAAATTTATATCATGATTTTAAATAAATCATTAATCAGTATTTATGTTATGATTGTGTTAACATCGTTCACTAAAAAATTTATATCACTGGGCCGGGTGCTGTGGCTCACGCCTGTAATCCCAGTACTTTGGGAGGCTGAGGCGGGTGGATCACGAGGTCAGGAGATTGAGACCATCTTGGACAACGTGGTGAAACCCCGTCTCTACTAAAAATACAAAAATATGAAAATTAGCTGGGTGTGGTGGTGCGTCCTGTAATCCCAGCTACTTGGGAGGCTGAGGCACGAGGATTGTTTGAGCCCAGGAGGTGGAGGTTGCAGTGAGCTAAGATCGCACAGGTGCACTCCAGCCTGGTGACAGAGTAAAATTGTGTCTCAAAAAACAACAAAACAAAAAACAACATTGTTTTATTCTGTACTTATTTTTTTATTTTCATTTTATTATATGAATTTTTTTTTTCTCGTTGCTCATGCTAGCGTGCAATGGTGCAATCTCGGCTCACTGTAATCTCTGCTTCCTGGGTTCAAGCGGTTATCCTGCCTCAGCCTCACAAAAAGCTGGGATTACAGGCATGTGCCACCACGCCTGGCTAGTTTTGTATTTTTAGTAGAGACAGAGTTTCACTATGTTGGTCAGGCTGGTCTCCTGACCTTGTGATCCACCTGCCTTGGCCTCCCAAAGTGCTGGGATTACAGGAGTGAGCCACCACACCCAGCTGAGTCATTTATATTTTTTGTAAACTGTCTATTCATAGCCTTTATAAGTTTTCTTTTGGGTTACTGACTTTTTTCTACTTTATAGGATTTTTTTTTTTTTTTTTTTTAGCTTTAGTGATGTTCTTTTTTTTTTTCTTTATTGATCATTCTTGGGTGTTTCTCGCAGAGGGGGATTTGGCAGGGTCATAGGACAATAGTGGAGGGAAGGTCAGCAGATAAACAAGTGAACAAAGGTCTCTGGTTTTCCTAGGCAGAGGACCCTGCGGCCTTCCGCAGTGTTTGTGTCCCTGGGTACTTGAGATTAGGGAGTGGTGATGACTCTTAACGAGCCTGCTGCCTTCAAGCTTCTGTTTAGCAAAGCACATCTTGCACCGCCCTTAATCCATTTAACCCTGAGTGGACACAGCACATGTTTCAGAGAGCACAGGGTTGGGGGTAAGGTCATAGATCAACAGGATCCCAAGGCAGAAGGATTTTTCTTAGTACAGAACAAAATGAAAAGTCTCCCATGTCTACCTCTTTCTACACAGACACAGCAACCATCCGATTTCTCAATCTTTTCCCCACCTTTCCTCCTTTTCTATTCCACAAAACCGCCATTGTCATCATGGCCCGTTCTCAATGAGCTGTTGGGTACACCTCCCAGACGGGGTGGTGGCTGGGCAGAGGGGCTCCTCACTTCCCAGTAGGGGCGGCCGGGCAGAGGCGCCCCTCACCTCCCGGACGGGACGGCTGACCCCCCCACACCTCCCTCCCGGACGGGGCGGCTGGCCGGGCAGGGGGCTGACCCCCCCCACACCTCCCTCCCAGACAGGGTGGCTGGCCGGGCGGGGGGCTGACCCCCCCCCACCCCCCTCCCGGGCGGGGCGGCTGCCGGGTGGAGGGGCTCCTCACTTCTCAGACGGGGCGGCCAGGCAGAGACGCTCCTCACCTCCCAGACGGGGTCGCGGCCGGGCAGAGGCGCTCCTCACATCCCAGACGGGGCGGCGGGGCAGAGGCTCTCCCCACATCTCAGACGATGGGCAGCCGGGCAGAGACGCTCTTCACTTCCTAGATGGGATGGCGGCCGGGAAGAGACGCTCGTCACTTCCTAGATGGGATGGCGGCCGGGCAGAGACGCTCCTCACTTTCCAGACTGGGCAGCCAGGCAGAGGGGCTCCTCACATCCCAGACAATGGGCGGCCAGGCAGAGACGCTTCTCACTTCCTAGACAGGATGGTGGCCGGGCAGAGACGCTCCTCACTTTCCAGACTGGGCAGCCAGGCAGAGGGGCTCCTCACATCCCAGACGATGGGCGGCCAGGCAGAGACGCCCCTCACTTCCCAGACAGGGCGGCGGCCGGGCAGAGGCTGCAATCTCGGCACTTTGGGAGGCCAAGGCACGCGGCTGGGAGGTGGAGGTTGTAGTGAGCCGAGATCACGCCACTGCACCCCAGCCTGGGCACCATTGAGCGCTGAGTGAACGAGACTCCATCTGCCATCCCGGCACCTTGGGAGGCCGAGGCTGGCGGATCACTCGCGGTTAGGAGCTGGAGACCAGCCCGGCCAACACAGTGAAACCCCGTCTCCACCAAAAAAATACGAAAAACAGTCAGGCGTGACGGCGCGCGCCTGCAGTCGCAGGCACTCGGCAGGCTGAGGCAGGAGAGTCAGGCAGGGAGGCTGCAGTGAGCTGAGATGGCAGCAGTACAGTCCAGCTTTGGCTCGGCATCAGAGGGAGACAGTAGAAAGAGAGGGAGAGGGAGACCGTGGGGAGGGGGAGGGGGAGAGGGAGAGGGAGAGGGGATTTTTTTATACATTAAGGAAACAAGCCTTTGACTATGATATTGGGTGCATGTATTTTCTCCCATTTTACTGTTTATCTATTTTTAATTCATTTATGGCATGGTTTATGATGCAATAATTTTTTATTTTCACGTAGTTGAATTCATTCTGTTTTACTATGCATCTGGGATCGATGGCACACCTGCAAAGTATTTCCCTCCATCATGAAGTATTTTTAAAAAATTCTTTGTTTTGTTTTGTTTAAGAGACTTGATCTCATCCTGTGCTGAAGCTGGTGTGTAGTGGCAAGTGGCATGATCATGGTTCATTGCAGCTTCATCTTCCTGGGCTCAAGCGACCCTCTTGAGTAGCTATGTTTGTAGCCACCACATTCAGCCTCCTCACGTTTTTAATCCTGTGATTTCTGTTCTTTTTTTTCTTTGGAATTTTTTTGAGATGTTGGGTCGTTCAAGTTTTCTTCTCTGTGTGTTTCTACTTGTCTTTGCACTGTTTATGCTACCTTTATCATATTAAATTCCCGTGTATATATCTATTTTTGGACTTTATTCTGTTCCATTAATTTGCATGTCTGTCTACTCACTAACTTTTATCTTTTTTTTTTTTTTGAGACAGAGTCCCACTCTGTCACCAGGCTGGAAGTGCACTGGCGCCATCTCGGCTCACTGCAACCTCTGTCTCCCGGGTTCAAGCGTTTCTCCTGCCTCAGTCTCCTGAGTAGCTAACCACACCAGGATAATTTTTGTATTTTTAGTAGAGACGGGGTTTTACCATTTTGTTCAGCCTGGTCACTAACTTTATCAATACTTAAATATTTAAGATCTGTCCTCGGATTTCTTTTAGTTATCCTTATCTATTTGTTGTTTCTGTGCAGACACCAGAATTGGCTTGCCTGTTTCTGAGGAAAAAAACCCATTTTCTTTGGGATTGTATTATAGATTGATGTAGGAAAATTGACGTCCTGTAATTTCCCCTATCTTGGAACAAGAGTATGTTTATTCAAGTCTTTCATGTCCTCCAGAAGTATGTTCAAGTGTTTGTCATTTGCATTGCTGTTACGGGTGGAATCTTATGCTTATGAGTATTTAATATCAAGTATTAGGTTTATTTTGTCTTGTTAACTTGTATGTCTGTTTACAATAGAGATGAAATCAAGAATAAAAATCAAGAGTGATTTTGGATGTGTTCATTACTGAGATGCTTGAGATGTCAAGAAGGCAGTTTGAATTTTTTTTTGAGACAGAGTCTGCAATGGCTCAATCTCGGCTCACTGCAACCTCCACCTCCTGAGTTCAAGCCATTCTCCTGCCTCAGCCTCCCAAGTAACTGGGATTACAGGTGTATGCTACCATGCCCAGCTAATTTTTTTGTATCTTTAGTATAGATGAGGTTTCGCCATGTTGGCCAGTCTGGTCTCGAACTCCTGACCTCAGGTAATCCACCCTCCTTGGTCTCCCAAAGTGCTGGGATTATAGGTGTGAGCCACCACACCAGGCAAGATTTCTTTCAAAATGTTACTGCTCATTGATAATACACCAGCCACCCAAGAGTTCTGATGGAGATGTACAAGCAAGGAAGTTAATATTTTCCTGCTTGTTATACGATATCCATTCTGCAGCCCATAGATCAGGGAGTAATTTATTAATTTATTATTTATTAATTATATTATTTATTATTTAAGAAACATTTTGTGGCCAGGTGTGGTGGCTCACGCCTGCAATCCCAGCATTTTGGGAGGCCAAGGCAGGCAGATCATTTGCGGTCAAGAGTTTCAGACTAGCCTGGCCAACATGGTGAAACCCCGTCTCTATTAAAAATACAAAAAAATTAGCCCGGCATGGTGGCAAATGCCTGTAATCCTAGACACTTAGGAGGCTGAGGTGGGAGGATCGCTTGAACCTGGGAAGTGGAGGTTGCAGTGAGCCGAGATCAAGCCACTGTACTTCAGCATGGATGACAGAGTGAGACTCTGTCTCAAAAAAAAAAAAAAAAAGAAAAGAAAAGAAAGAAAGAAAAAAGAAATATTTTATAAGGCTAGAGCTGCCATAGGTAGGAATTCCCCTGATGAATCTGGACAAAGTAAACTGAAAACCTTTTAGAAAGGATTCACCATTCTAGATACCATTAAGAAAACACACAGCGGTGGCTCATGTCTGTAATCCTAGCACTTTGGGAGGCCAAGGCGAGCAGATTACTTGAGGCCAGGAATTTGAGACCAGCCTGGGCAACGTGGCGAAATCCTGTCTCTACAAAATATTAGCCAGGCATGGTGGCATGCATTTGTACTCTCAGCTACTCAGGAGGCTGAGATGGGAAGATCACCGGAACCCAGGGAGATTGAAGCTGCAATGAGCGGTGATTGTGCCATTGCACTCCAGTCTGGGTGACAGAGAAATACCCTGTCTCAAAAACAAACAAAAATAATATTCATGATTCTTGGGAGGAGGTCAAAATATGAACATTACCAGGAGTTCAGAAGTTGATTGGAACCCTTGTGGATAACTTCGAGGGGTCCAATTCTTTAGTGGAAGGAGTAACTGTAGATGCCAAGAGAACTAAAATTATAAATGGAGCCTGGAGATGTGACTGAATTGCTGCAATCTAAAACTTTAACACATGAAGAATTGCTTGTTGGGGAAGAGCAAAGACATATTTTGAGATGGAATCTAGTTCTGGTGAAGATTCTGTGAACATTGTTGGAATGACAACAAAGGACTTTGACTTATTATATAAACCTGGTTGGATGAGACAGCAGCAGAGTTTGAAAGGATTGACTCCAAATTTGAAAGAAGTTCTAGGCCAGGTGCGGTGGTTCATGCCTGTAATCCCAGCACTTTGGGAGGCCAAGGTGGGTGGATCACGAGGTTAAGAAATCGAGACCAGCCTGGCCAACATGGTGGAACCCCATCTCTACTAAAACTACAAAAACTAGCCAGGTGTGGTGGCGTGCGCCTGTAGTCCCAGCTACTCGGGAGGCTGAGGCAGGAGAATCACTTGAACCCAGGAGGTGGAGGTTGCAATGAGCCGAGATCGCGCCACTGCACTCCAGCCTGGGCAACAAGAGTGAAACTCCGTCTCAAAAAAAAAAATAAATAAATAAAATAAAAAGAGAACGAAGTTCTTTCTTGAAAGGAAGGGTCAATTGATGGGGCAAACATCATTGCTATCTTAAGAAACTGCCACAGCCACCCCATCCTGATCACCATCTTGATCAGTCGGCCACCATCTTGATCAGTCGGCAGCCATCAACATTGAGACAAGACCCTCCACCAGCAAAGAGATTACCACTTGCTGAAGGCTCAGGTGGTTTAGCGTTTTTTAGCTCTCTCTCTCTATATATATATACATATTTTTTAAGGTAGAGTCTTTCTCTGTTGCCCAGGCTGGAGTGCAGTGGTGGGGACCCATCTCAACTGCAGCCTCGACCTCCTGGGCTCAAGTGATCTTCCTGCCTCAGCCTCCTGAGTGGCTGGGGCCACAGGTGCATATCACTACACCCAGATAATTTTTTACATTTTTTTTTTTGATAGAGACAGAGTCTAGCCGTGTCACTCAGGTTGGTCTCGAGCTCCTGGGCTCAAGCGATTCTCCTGCCATTGCCTCTCAAAGTGCTATGATTATAGGCGTGAGCTACTGTGCCCAGCCATAAAATATTTTTAAATTAAAGTATCTACATTGGGCCGGGTGTGGTGGCTCATGCCTGTAATCCCAGCAACTTAGAAGGCTGAGGCAGGCGGATCATGTGAGGTTAGGAGTTTGAGACCAGCCTGGCCAACATGGCGAAACCCCATCTCTACTAAAAATACAAAAATTAGCCGGGTGGGGTGGCACGAGCCTGTAATCTCAGCTACTCGGGAGGCTGAGGCAGGAGAATCCCTTGAACCCGGGAGGTGGATGTTGAAGTGAGCTGAGATCATGCCACTGCACTCCAGCCTTGGCAACACAGTGAGACTGTCTCAAAAAAAAAGGTATCCACATTGCTTTTTAGACATAGTGCTATTGCACACTTAATAGACTACATTATAGTGTAAACATAGCTTTTGTATGCAGTGGGAAAACAAATTTGTGTTACTTGTTTTATTGTGGAATTGAACCCACAGTCTCTCCTAGATGTGCCTGTTTATTGGAAAAAAAATAGGATGAACCAGAAAAGGAGACTGAGAAGGAGCATCCAAAGTGCATTAGAAGGAAGCTGAGAGTGGGTGTTTTAGAATCCAAGAGGAATGTTTCAGGAAAAATTGGGCCATCATATCAAATACTACTGAGTGGTTGAGTGACGTGAGGACAGAGTTGACCATTGGATTTGACAAGAGGAAGTCATTAGTCACCTTGATTATGTTATTTCAGTGGGGTGGCAGGCCAAAACCTGATTGGAATAGGATGGAATAGCAAATGGGAGGTGAGAAATGGATGTAACTTTTTGATATAATTTAATGAGAAGGAAAGCAGAGGTGGGGTCAGTCTTTAAAAAGATCGACTACATTAAGACATATTTTGTGCCCACGAGAAGAGTTCTAAAGAGGGAGAAGTTGACACCACAAGCAAAATAAAAGGAAATAATTTTGGTGCTGAATCTCAGTATGTGCAGAAATTGAGTTTAGAGTAGAATAAAGATGTTTGCTTTAGATTGGAGCAGAAGGGAAGGCAGAGTATGTTGATGCAAATGCAAGTAGGTTGGTAGCTTTTGTTAGGAAGAGTGGGTGTATTTCTCAATGAAAAAGAAGATGAAATCAAATGAGGGGAGTGAGAAGATGGTGATTCAAGTTTGAAGATTCAAGTTTGAGGTGATTCAATTTTGGTGCTGAATCTCTGTATGTGCAGAAATTGAGTTTAGAGTAGAATAAAGATGTTTGCTTTAGTTTGGAGCAGAAGGGAAGGCAGAGTATGTTGATGCAAATGCAAGTAGGTTGGTAGCTTTTGTTAGGAAGAGTGGGTGTATTTCTCAATGAAAAAGATGAAATCAAATGAGGGGAGTGACAAGATGGTGATTCAAGTTTGAAGATTCAAGTTTGAGGTGATTCAGTTTTGGTGCTGAATCTCTGTATGTGCAGAAATTGAGTTTAGAGTAGAATAAAGTTGTTTGCTTTAGATTGGAGCAGAAGGGAAGGCAGAGTATGTTGATGCAAATGCAAGTAGATTGGTAGCTTTTGTTAGGAAGAGTGGGTGTATTTCTCAATGAAAAAGATGAAATCAAATGAGGGGAGTGAGAAGATGGTGATTCAAGTTTGAGGAGAGAGAATTAGGAAATAGTAGTCTTTGGAGCAAATTCTTTGGGAAATAAAGTAGTATTGACAAATACGGTTAAGTGTCCTTTTGAAATTTATGAGCAGGTATTGAAATTGAGACCAGGTGAGCTCAGTCTTCTTCAACATTAATATGTTGAATGTTGGGAGGTATGAAGTAGACTGATAGTTACGTTTAACTCAGGTAGGAGTTTTGCCATATAATATAATGCAGGAACATATCCCAGGAACATAAAGTTGCTGGGAGGGGTAACAGGACTAGTTGAGATACAGATAAAGAGAGCAGGCCAGGCACTCTTACGACAACAGATAAGTCTCCTCTGTGTCTTAGATTTTTCATCTGAAAAATGGGCCTCAGTTGAAAAAATGGTATCTGTCATAGTAGTAATAGTGCACAGTTATTTTGAGTATCATTAAGCTAAATCGTATGACCAAGGGCCTGGCCACTGTGATACGCTCAGGGACAGGCTCACTTCCCCTGCTCCTGGCCTTGCTCTCATTCATCTAACTAGCTGCTTAGGTGAGTGCACCCGTCTCATCTAACACTCTTCTCTTGACTCTCACAGATTTATTTTTGTGATGAAGTCTCTTGACACATTCTCTCCTGATTGGGCAAAATATTTGAGGTGGTCTCATTCTTCTTGAAAATATACATTCTGATTTGTTTGGTGCTTTGTTATATTTTATGTATCTTTTCATCAGCTGGTTAAAGTGAAAATCGTTTTGTCTTTTTCCTCTCACATGACAGTCTGATATTGAAAGAGACCATAAATACTAGCTTGACTTCTTTCTAGAAATGTTGATCTCAAATGGTACTTTGCAGTCTGTTTAAGTGAACCAGTGGCCTCTTCAAGATGTGAGGTCATGTGATGGAATGCTGGCCTGGTGTTCTAGCCCCACTGACCTGCTCAGTGGCTTAGAGCAGCAGACTTTTTTCCTGCCCCAAACTTTGCCTGGCATGTGCTTCCTCCCCCTCTCCCCCCAGCCCCGTTCCTGCATGTCCCCATTTCTTACTGGGCTGGCTTATCCTCTTTTTCTTCTGGTCTCAGTTACATATTATCTTTGTATGGAGGCTTCCCTCTCCTACCCTTCCTAAAGCCTCAATTTTAGGCTTTTATGTGTTTTCATCAGACAACCAAAATTTAAAATTCTTTTATTTAATTGAGAAAAGCCAACTTTTGTTCTGTCTGCCTTCTACCCTTTTTTCTTTCTTTTGTACTTGGCTTAGAGAAGGTGTTGACTAAGTGTTCTAAATAAAAATAATGGAATAGCTAATAATGTACTTGATGACCATATACCAAGAACTGGACTAAGTGCTCACTAAACTTAAATTTTTTTTCATTTAATCCTCACAAAAACTGTAAGAAGTAGTTGTAATTTATTTTATAGAAAGAAAATAGATCACACAGCTACTAAGTGGCAGAACTTGGGTTTAGAACCGAGGTTTGATGCGTCTTAACATTGCTTTCCTTATACCGCAATTGATTATTCATTAGAGCATCTAACTCCCTCCCTGTCTCTTTGGTTTTTAGGAACTTCTAGCAATAGTAAAACAAAAGACTACTGAGAATTTAGATGATGTCACCTTCTTGTTTACTTTGAAAGCACTTTGGAATCTTACAGATGGGTCTCCAGCTGCCTGCAAGCACTTCATTGAAAATCAAGGATTGCAAATCTTCATCCAAGTCTTGGAGGTGGGAAGACAGGATTGAGTTTATATGTAAAGTTCTTCTCTTCATGATAAAGTAACCTGTATGTATATATTTTTTTGACAGACCTTTTCAGAGTCAGCAATACAAAGCAAAGTACTTGGTCTTTTGGTAAGGTGAATTGTTTTGAATTAATTTTAATTGCTTAAAAGCAAAACCTAACACTTATATAGTACCTACTATATGCTAGGCAGTATTGTAAGCAATTTACATGTATAAACTCATTTAATCTTTACATTAGCCCTACAGAGTAAATACTATTGTATATCAGTTATCTATTGTTGTGAACAAACTATAGCTTAGTGGCTTAAAACAGTAGCCATTTAATTTACTTATGAATCTGTGGGTCAGTAGTTTGAGCTCAGCTCAGCTGTAAAGTTCTTCTGGTCTGTCTGGTCTCATGTGGGGTCACTTATGTAGCTGCAGTCATCTGGTGGCTTGACTGGGGCTGGAGGGTCTAAGATGGCCTGACTCTTATGTCTGACAGTTGGTGCTGCTTACCAGCTGGCGGGCTTTGTGTCCACAGGCTTCTCCACATGGCAATCTCTAGAGGGCAGGCCCCACTGTCCAAGCGCTTTTTAAACCTCTGCTTATATCACCTTGCTAATGTTTCATAGGACAACACAGGTTATATATTTAAGCCCAGATTAAAGGCAGTAAAGTCACATTGCTACGGGGTGTATATACAGGGATAGGAGAAGTTGTGTTATTTTTGTATTCTACCATACACTGTTATCCACGTTTCATAGAGAATCTGAGTCCCAGAAATGCCGTTTATCCTAATTAGAACTCAAACTCGGCCAGGCACGGTGGTTCATGCCTGTAATCCCAGCACTTTGGGAGGCCGAGGTGGGTGGATCACCTGAGGTCAGAAGTTCAAGACCAACCTGGTCAACATGGTGAAACCCTGTCTCTACTAAAAATACAAAAATTAGCTGGGCATGGTAGCACATGCCTGTAATCCCAGCTACTTGGGAGGCTGAGGCAGGAGAATTGCTTGAACCTGGGAGGTAGAGATTGAAATGAACCAAGATCGTGCCACTGCACTCCAATTGCACTCCAGCCTGGGCAACAAGAACGAAACTCTGCTCAAAAAAAAAAAAAAAAAAAAAAAAAACAAACCAAAAAACTCAAACTCAGTCAGTCTGGCTCCAGACCCTCTGATATTAATCACTTTACTATACTACTTCTTTATCCAGGAAGTCTATTTTTTAGCAGTTTCTTTGTTGATACTTATGTACTGACTCTCAATCAAGGTATTCTACAATTGAGAAATTTCTTCATTTCCTAAAGCTAAAGGTGAAGATTTTTCAATAAGTAATAAAGACATATAGTAAGCACCTGCACTTTGCCATGCCATATGCATTGGAAAAATACGGATGCATGAAATATGTCAAGGTGATGGTGCTCATAACTTTGGGAAGGCAGTGTTAGACGTGTACAAACAGGTATCTGATTTACAACTGACAAGTGAGTGCTGCAAGAGAGGCACTGAGTCCATTGGGACCCTTGGTTCTAGGTCCTGAACTCGTTGAAAACATGGAGGGACTGTGCCTTATCTTCGTGTATCTCACACATACAGGACTCACAACAAAGTAGATGTGAAAGGCTTCACAGAGAGGAGTAAATGATTAATACTGGAAATCTGGAAGGTACGGAAAAGTATAAAGAAGGGACAAAGTCATTTTTGGCTAGGGAAGATTATTTATAATGTAATCAATAAGTGTAATCATTGAGGAACACTGTAAAATGGAATGGTTAGAATTTGGGGAAAAGGTGGGAAGGTGAAAAGGAATGGGAAATAATGCCAGAAAGTTGGATTGATGCCTCATATATCCTGTACAATTCTACATATCCTACCAGCTGACCTAAAAGATCTTCCACTTTTCTTATTTATTTATTTATTTATTTATTTATTTATTTATTTTTGTCTCGCTCTTGTCACCCAGGCTGGAGTGCAATGGTGTGATCTCGGCTCACTGCAACCTCTGCCTCCCGGGTTCAAGTGATTCTCCCACTTCAGTCTCCCGAGTAGCTGGGATTGCAAGCATGCGCCACCACGCCCAGCTAATTTTTGTATTTTTTTTAGTAGAGACAGGGTTTCACCATGTTAGCCAGGATGGTCTCAATCTCTTGACCTTGTGATCCACCTGCCTCAGCCTCCCAAAGTGCTGGGATTATAGGCATGAGCTACCGCACCCAGCCCACTTTTTTTTTTTTTTTTTTTTTGAGAGATCCAGAATGTGAGGATTTACAAGAAAAATCTTGGGACTCACCTGTGGTGCCCCTCTCAGTTGTGCTAAGAATGTCTTGTTAGGGGGTAACATATGATAGACTTAACACTGAAATCATGCGTAGATGAGAGATATAGCTGGTCTTGGGAAAAACAGGCGTGGGGGGGACATCTCAATTTCTGCTTCAATCTTTAGTGTCCTATGTGCCTCAATATACTAGTGTCTAGAGTGTGCTTTCCTGAATGGTTCATCAGAAGCAGCAGTTAATGCTAACACAAACTGCTGTGTTTACTTTGACTGTTTCACCTCATTAAACCTTTGGTTTTTCATTTTTGTAGACAGACTCTCCCAGTGATTCCAGCCTCCTGGCACTGACATCCCCTACCCTTGAGTGTGGACAGGACCTGTTTCTTGATTCTAGCCAAGGGAATATGGCAAAGATGATAAAATATCACTCCCATGATTATGTTACTATATACTTATATATATGTATCTGTCTTGCTAGCAGGCCCACTGTAGGGACTCTTTCTCTCTGGCCCTGAAGGAGCAAACAGTCATGAAGTAAGTGGTTGGAGGAGGGAGAAGCCCACCTTTTAAGGAACTTGGGGCAGCTTCTAGGAGCCGAACGTGGCCTCCAGCAAGAAACTGAATCACTCAGTCCTGCAGCCACCAGAAATGAATTCTGCCAGCAGTCTGAGTGAGGTTGGCAGTAAATTCTCCCCCGGTGGAGCCTCCAGGTGAAAATGCAGCCCAGCCAACACTTTGATTGCAGCCCTGTGAGATCTCAGAGAAGAGGGTCTAGCTAAGTCATGCTGAGACTCCTGCCCCACAGAAACCAGGGAATCATAAATGCATGTTGTTTTACGCCACTAAGTTTGTGGTAATTTGTTACACAGCATAGAAAACTAGTGTAACATATAAAATAAAATACTGCCTGACTTTCATTGTTGTTGTTAAAAGATAACGTAACATTGAGCAGGCCTTCAGTAATGTTAAGTATTTGAATTAGGCCTTGATTTGTATTCTAGTTCATCCAGTTATTAGCAGTATGAACTTGACAAGTTTGTCTTGCTTAGTGTCACATTTCTTTGTAGTAGTATTTTAAAGATTAAATGAGATAAGGTAGATAAAAAGACAATTTTATTTATCTAGTACTGTGCCTGGCACTTAGTAAGTACTTATTTAGTGATTGTTGTTAATGATCATCCTCATCAAGGGAGTTGGATTGTGGGTTTTAGGCTAGCTTGAGGCGGAGGCGGGTATAAGAATAAGAGTTCTGAATTTATCTGACCTGAGAAGCAGGAAAGGGAAAAAAGCCAATTCCTGATTCTCCCCTCCCTTCTTGTCTCTGGGGTTCTCTGCTCCATCTGACCTGTAGAACAACATAGCAGAAGTCAGAGAGCTCTCTTCCAAGCTGGTGACCGAAGATGTGCTGAAGCATATCAACAGTTTACTCTGTAGCAGGGAAATGGAAGTCAGCTATTTTGCTGCAGGTATCATAGCCCACCTGACATCTGACAGACAGCTTTGGATATCCCGTGACTTCCAGAGGCGTACTCTTCTCCAAGATCTGGTACAGGAACCACATTCTTATTTATAAAATCCAGAGTAATCTCTAATTACAGAAAATGTAGTTTCCTAAATCATAATAATATGATTGTAGAAAGTGGGAAAAATAGAGAAAAACTTATTACTAACCCATATCTTTCCATCCAAAACTATCTCTGTTAACATTTTGTTGCATATGACTTACTTCGGTCCTCTTTCTCATCAGCTTTTTTTTTTTAAAACTATTTACTTTATTGATGTTTCTTTTTTTTTTTTTGAGACAGGGTCTGTCTCCCAGGGTGGAGCACAGTGGCACAATTCACAGCACACTGCAGCCTCAACCTCGGAGGCTTAGGTGGTCCTCCCACCTCAACCTCCCAAGTAGCTGAGACTATAGGTGTGTGCCACCACACCCAGCTAATTTTTGTATTTTTTGTAGATGGGGTTTTGCCATGTTGGCCAGGCTGTTCTCAAACTCCTGAGCTTAAGCGATCTGCCTACCTTGGCCTCCCAAAGTGCTGGGAATACAGGCATGAGCCATCGCGCCTAGCCAACTTCCTTATTTCTAAATAACATATTATGCTGCTGTTCTTGACTTTATCGCTTTAGGAATCTATCAATTCATTTTCCCACTTTGGGAAACTAAGATTCTTTTTCTCACTGTTTCTATGCACAGCCTTTCTAAGTGTATACTCAAGGTATAAATCTTCATACATATTCTGTACACTTCACCTTCTCAGGACTTTCTTACCTTTGCATTCCTTCCATGTGGTCTGCTTGTTTTGTACACCGTATATGGTGGACTGCTGTCATCCTCGGACTCCCTTTGCCTCTCTTGTGTTGGATTCCGTGTTTCCTGGCTTATGTGCCTCCCTGTATCTTGGTTTACTCCCACCTTTTGTTGGACCATATTCTCCAGTAGCTTCCTAAGAAAAGAGTCTTGAAATGAGACCATACCTGTTTAAAAAGGCCTTTATTTTACCCTCACATTTAATTGATCAAATGGCTGGGTATAGAATTCTAGCTTTGAAATATTTTTCCTTCATAATTTAAAAATGTTTGCTTCATTGTCTTTTACTTGTCAGGATCACTGTTGAGAACTCCCATGCAATTTTCTTTTAAGCTTTAAGGTTTTTGTCCTTTGTCCTCAGTGTTCAGAAATCACAATGGCTTACCCTGTGGGTTTATTTTCATTTTTTTGTTTATTTTTTGTTAATTTTTTTCTTCTTTGTGGGTTTATTTTCATATATTTTGTTGAGTACTTATCAGTCAGGAAGCTCATTTCCTCCCTGGGACATTTCTTTAATCATTTTTTTCTGGGATGTTGGCCTTCCCAGACTCATCTTTTCATATCTAGCTCATTTATCTTTTTTGTTCTGAATCCTCTTCTAAAAATATAATATCCTGTTTTTGTTTCATAGTTCTATATCTATTTTTCTCTTTGAACGTAATAATGATAATTTTAAATTTTATTTTATTTTATTTTATCTTTTTGAGATAGGCTCTCACTCTGTTGTCCAGGCTGGAGTGCAGTGGCACCATCTCAGCTCACTGCAACCTCCGCCTCCTGGGTTCAAGTGATACTCCTGCCTCAGCTTCCCAAGTAGCTGGGATTACAGGTGTGGTAATGCACACCTGTAAAAACACAATAATTGTTGTGTTTTTAGTAGAGACGATTTCACCATGTTGGCCAAGCTGGTCTAGAACTCCTGACCTCAAGTGATCCACCTGCCTTGGCCTCCTGAAGTGCTAGGATTACAGGTGTGAGCCACCATGCCTGGCCAATTTAAAAAAAAGATTTTTTTTTTTTTGAGACTCGGTCTGTTGCCCGGGCTGGAGTGCAGTGGTGTGATCTCAGCTCATTGCATCCTCCACCTCCTGGGTTCAAGTGATCCTCCCACCTCAGCCTCCCAAGTCGCTGGACTACAGCTGCATGCCACCACACCTAGCTAACTTTTGTACTTTTAGTAGTGACAGGGTTTCACCATGTTGGCCAGGCTAGTCGCAAACTCCTGACCTCAAGGGATCTGCCCACCTCAGCCTCCAAAAGTGCTGGGATTACATGCATGAGCCATCATGCCCAGCCTAATTTTTAAGTTTTCCTGTTCGTCCAAGGCTACTGTTTCCTGCAAGTTGCTTTTTTTCCTATTTATTTTGTTCCATTGTGTTAGAGATTTTCCTAAAGTTAGGGTGATTCTGAGCTGTCCATGGGGACAGCTAAGAGTGGGACTGATTGAAAACTGCAGACAGGTAGAATGTGTCAGAGGCTTGCTCTGTCACCCAGGCTGGAGTGCAATGGCATGATCATAGCTCACTGCCGCCTCTGCCTCCTGGGTTCAAGTGATCCCTCCGCCTCCCGAGTAGCTGGGATTACAGGCGCCTGCCACCATGCCCAGTTAATTTTTGTATATATTTTTTTAGTAGAGACGGGGTTTCACCATGTTGGTCAGGCTTGTCTCCAACTCCTGACCTTAGGTCATCCACCCACCTCGGCCTCCCAAAGTGCTGGGATTACAGGAGTCAGGCACTGCACCCGGCCAATAAATAAAATTAAAAAAAAAATTAGCTGGGCGTGGCCGGGCACGGTGGCTCACGCCTGTAATCCCAGCACTTTGGGAGGCCGAGGCGGGCAGATCATGAGGTCTGGAGATCGAGATCCTCCTGGCTAACATGGTGAAACCCTGCCTCTACTAAAAATACAAAAAATTAGCTGGGCGTGGTGGCGGGCACCTGTAGTCCCAGCTACTCGGGAGGCTGAGGCAGGAGAATGACGTGAACCTGGGAGGTGGAGCTTGCAGTGAGCCGAGATCGTGCCACTGCACTCCAGCCTGGGCAACAGAGCGAGACTGCCTCAAAAAAAAAAAAAAGCCGGGCGTGGTGGTGGGCACCTGTAATCCCAGCTACTTGGGAGGCTGAGACAGGAGAATTGCTTGAACTCAGGAAGCAGAGGTTACAGTGAGCCGAGATCGTGCCATCGCACTCCAGCCTGGGCAACAAGAGTGAAAATTCATATTCAGAAAAAAAAAATTATAAGCTTAATTGTCAGTAGTCTGAAAGCCTAGTAAAAGGAGAGAGTTGAGGGGCAGGGGATCTCAACATTTAGTATTTAGGTTTTAACTCCAGACACACCCCTGTTTTTATCATGGTGTTCCCACCCTGAATTGTTTATGGGGTTGCCCAGTCCAGATGTTTTTATTAAGGATCACAGAAGAAATCGGGGAGTCCGAATCCTTTGAACCAGTCTTCCTATTTTCTTTTTCTTTCTTTTTTTTTTTTCTCCCAAGATGGAGTCTCGCTCTGTTGTCCAGGCTGGAGTGCAGTGCAGTGGCGCCATCTCAGCTCACTGCAACCTCTGCCTCCTGGCTTCAAGCGATTCTCCTGCCTCAGTCTCCTGAGTAGCTGGGATTATAGGCACACACCACCATACCCGGCTAATTTTTGGATTTTTTTAGTAGAGACGGGTTTCACCGTGTTGGCCAGGCTGGTCTCAAACTCCTGACCCCAGGTGATCTACCCGCCTTGGCCTCCCAAGTGCTGAGATTACAGGCATGAGCCACCGTGCCCGGCCCACTCCTCCTATTTACAGCCCCACTGTAATTTCACTTCAGGAAGTACCTCACGTGCCAAATTTTTAAGTCTCTTAGGGGTTCTCTTCAAATTGGTTTGTGTTTTTTGTTTTGTGTTTTGTTTTTTGGGTTTTTGTTTTTTTTTTTGAGATGCCCGGCTAATTTTTTTTTGTATTTTTAGTAGAAACGGGGTTTCACCGTGTTAGCCAGGTTGGTCTCGATCTCTTGACCTTGTGATCCGCCCGCCTTGGCCTCCCAAAGTGCTGGGATTACAGGCGTGAGCCACTGTGCCCAGCCTGGTTTGTGTTTTAACCTTTCTAAGTGCTAGGTATTAAATCAGTTACCATTTTTCCATGTGCATTGTTCTTTGTTTTACTTTCTGTTAATGGGATTATGGAGGAGTAGAGGTAAATTCGTGCTCAGTCCAGCATCTTTAAACAGATGCCCCTTGTTCTTGTAATTTTTCCCACATTGTTAAGATATTGTGTGTATATAATCGTTATGTGATTGATATTTTGCCAAGTAGATGTATCTAAATTTGTTCAATCGTTCCCAGATTTTGAAACATTTTGTTGTAAATGATGGATTATTCAAATGTTGGTTTCTCTCTCTTGTTTTTGGAGTAGCATGCAACCATACAGAATTGGCCAAGTTCAAGTTGTAAGATGACAGCATTGGTGACCTATAGGTAATTTCATGGTGTTGTGCTTTTCTTCTTTTTTTTTTCTTCTTTTTTTTATTTTTGAGACAGAGTCTTGCTCAGTCGCCCAGGCTGGAGTGCAGTGGCACAATCTTGGCTCACTGCAAGCTCCACCTCCCGGGTTCACGCCATTCTCCTGCCTCAGCCTCCCGAGTAGCTGGGACTACAGGCACCCGCCACCATGCCCGGCTAATTTTTTGTATTTTTAGTGGAGACGGGGTTTCACCATGTTAGCCAGGATGGTCTCGATCTCCTGACCTCGTGATCTGCCCGCCTCGGCCTCCTAAAGTGCTGGGATTACAGGCGTGAGCCACCGTGCCTGGCCCAGTGTTGAGCTTTTCTTAAAGGCTGTACTCAGTGATACAGTGATAACGTGTTAGAGTCAGTTAGCCTTATGTTCAAATCCTATTTCTCTGATATTGGGAAAGTCATTTCTAGAAGGTCAGCTTTCCTTGTCTGTAAAATGAGGCTGACAGTGTGCAAGATTGAGGATGCAATGAGATACTGATCATAATAAAGGGTTTAATACAGAATGCAATTTCTTAAATAATAGCTTCATTGTATGCTCGGTCACAGGGAGAAGTTGACCCTGTGGGGAAAATGTTTAAAATTTGAAAATTCTTTTTTTTTCAACCTTTTGAGTCAGGGTCTCTCTCTGTTGCCCAGGCTGGAGCTGGAATGCAGTGGCGGGATCACATCTCAATGCAGCCTTGACTTCCCAGGCTCAAGTGATCCTCCCACTTGAGGATCCTCCCACTTGGCCCTACAGGCGTGTGCCACCAGGCCCAGCTAATTTTTTTTTTTTTTTTTTTTTTTTTTTTGTAGAGACGGGGGCTCACCTTGTTGCCTAGGCTGGTCCCGAATTCCTAAGCTCAAGCAATCCACCTACCTTGGCCTCCCAAAGTGCTGGGATTACAGGCATGAGCCACCATGCCCGGCTGTGAAAATTATATACATTATTATATTAATTATATAGTACAAATTATTATATCCCTGAGCACTGGCCTAACTGTTCTGGATTAACATCTTTGTACTTTTTTTTGTTTTAGATCTTTCAAGACATTTTTCCCGCTCCTTGGCAACTTCTCTCAACCAGAGGTTCAGCTCTGGGCACTATGGGCTATGTATCATGTCTGCAGTAAAAATCGTATGTATTCAACATATATTCAAAACATAATAGTTTTCCAGCTATTTTTCTGTGTAATGATTAAGTTCAAGATGGATGTGCAAAAATTGTCTACCTCTGTCCTCTGAATTTAGGT